>NC_000005.10:89200716-89503746 GCF_000001405.40 Homo sapiens | reverse complement strand
ATAGAAAAGCAAGTTTCAAAGCCAGAGTCAGTTGACTACCTATTCCACTGTCTTTTCCCCTACTCTTACTATCTTAACATTCATCTCCTGCCCAGGGGTACCGTACAGGTAGGTGGCCAGTGGGAATAAACTGTAATCGAGATAATATGTCTGGAGAAGACTGAGCTTGACTGTAGACATTAACAAGCAATCACTACACATAAAATTTGAGGATATCTAATTTGTGTAGGATTAAACCTATGCTGTTATATTGAAAAATGCACCCCAGAATGACACTATCGTGTTCTATATAAAATTTATTTCAAAAAATTACTAACTTACTAAAGCTTTTTCCCCTGTCATCAGCCTGACATCAAAGATAAAATGAAAACCATGAGCCACACCACCAACAACAACTTAACCTTCAACCACATGCACTTCACTCTTTCCCTAACATCTCACAGAAATGTTGTCTCTCTTCCATTCAGTGCTGATAATATCTCTTGTGGCCTGGATTCCATCACCTTCCACCAAATCACAGACAATATTCTTTTAATTATACTCTTTTAAGTCTATTCAATATTGAAACAAATAATCACGGAGAAAACTAAAATGCTATTCTGTAAATCTTTTATGCCTTTTAAACTCAGTTTCTTTCACGTGCTACTCTATCCATAAAAAGGAATCTGTCTTTCACTTACTAACTTATCTTTATTTTCCAATCCACTGACTGCACTATTCTATTTCAGTGTGGTTGGCCAATCACCACCTAATTGCAAAATGTGAAAGAATCTTTATTTTCAATATTTTTCCTGTCTTCATCTTATCTAATTTTAATGCCCTTTTGGACACTGTCTTTATTCCCCTTAAAATGTACTTCTCTTGCTGTTTCTCTAACTGGGCTCTAGTGTTACACATTTTATCATACTCATTTGGTTTTCTTCTTTTTCACAGTTGTTCTTCATGTTTTGGTGCTCTTCAGGATTCCATCCTCAGCCCTCTTCTCATGTTCTCCTTCTCCCTGATGACCTTCCTTCCATCTCTGTGTTAATGACTTCCAAGCGCCTTCTCTCATCCTGCATCACTCTCCTTAGCACCATATACATGTATTTCATTTTCTACTGGGCACTTCCACTTTAGAGTGACCCTAGAATCTCAAGTTAAATATGTTCCTAATTAATTTTATGAGTCTTCCCAAACACCAACCCCCATAAACAACTTGTCCTGTATTTTTTATCTTATTTCATGACACCATGATCCATCCAAATTTCTAAGCCATATACTGGGAATTACCCTTAGCTCTACTTGCTCTTTCTTCCCCATCCCCTAAACCCATAAGACTCTTAATGCTTTTCATCTTGCTTCTTAAATATTTCTCAAATCCATTTAAGTTTCTTCAGCTGCAAAGTCATTGGCTTATTTTAAATTTGCTTTATTTCCTACTGGATTCTTTCAGTGTTTTTCCCACCTATTGTCCACACGACAATCAAAAATCTTTCTAAAACACACCTCTTCTATGACATATTCCTATAAACCAATTTTTACTGAATTTGTTACCTTTAAATTAAAGTCCATTTGTAAAAACTGAGTTTACATGGCCTTTCAAGAGTTAGTTGCCTGGATACTCCTCCAGCCATTGTTCTGTTGCCCCTTCATTTGTTCAATTCTTCTTCGTCTTAAATCTTACCCAAGACATCACTTACTATGGGTCATTTTCCATAATTCTCCTATTTTTGTTTTTGGAAGACTTCTTTGTGTTTCCATGTACGCCTTTCCATATTTACACTTAACAAAGTATAATATATTGTAGTAATCTTTTCACTTATCTCTCTTTTTATTGATTGTCAGAATCTTTTGTACAGAAAGCCTGCATTTTTCTTGGTGGTCGACCCTAGAATCTGCCGTGGCATTTGGCACCCATTATGCACATAATACAATTTTAGAAATGTCTGAATATAATATGTATTTGAGGGAAGCATGCTGCAGGACAAGCACTACTCTAAGCAGTCAGTGTATAACTATCAAAAACATAGACAGAGCCCCCACCTCAAAGAGCTTACATTCCAGTGGAAGGAGTAAATAAAAATAAAAAATAAATAAATCCAAAAGTGTTAAAAAGTGGAGTCATTTCAAAATTTCTAATGAGGATTTTTTTAAACAATCAGAAAGATAACTCTTCTTTAAATTGCAAATCATAACACCAAAATTTCCAGATAAGGTGTAACAATTATACTAAACTAGTTTTATCTATAAACCTCATATTAAACCGAAGAATGTTTCTAAATGTGTATGCTTTAATGTAAGTATGATGATCATCTGATAAAAGTTGTAGAAAATACTGTAAACAATTCCATTTACATTGATTTAAAACATTTTAAATCAAACTTTGCATATAAAATTTATTTCAGAAATCTCAAACCATAAAGTATGCAAAGAAAATGGGCTATGAATGGATGAGAGTCTAAAAAAGTGTCTAATTTCTAATTCCAGCTGCAAGGAAAAGAATGTCAACTATGTTAGACTGTGGCTCTGTCTGCATCCACAAACTGATTTTGCAAATGATTGAATTCATTTAAATGGTCAGTTATTTTGACAAAAACCAATGACCAAAAGTGGCCAAATCTAGTCAATACCTGGTAGTTTGCATTCAGGCTACTTGCCCTCTCAACTTGGTTTTTATGTGTAGATAGTCTGTGGATCAAGAATTCAGGGTGGGCTACTAATGTCATTTTGTGAAAACAACATGTTACCAAGTAAGAGTGTTTTCTGGCCATTTGCTCTTGGCCACCCATGTGTCTGCTAGTGCAGTGCCATTGGCTCAGTACCTTAGGGCCTCACATTTTCCTCATTGTCTGAGGATATGGTAAAAACAGTTTGATTGGAAAATTGTCAGCCTGGTGGTGGTGGACACATAGTTACCACAGAGTTGTTATCAATCCAAGGCTCAAACAGTGGGGGCTAGTACCCAAGAACCCAGCAATTCCTACTCTCCTTTAATTAACCTGACTGCTCTTTTGGATAGAAATGTTTACTCAAAAGTGTAGAATTGCAACAAAAAAAATTTAAGGGAAGCAACTTTGTTTCTGAATTGCATTTGTTTCTGTAACAATTCTCCAGCTTCAGTTTCTGTCAAATAAAAGACCAACTAGTATTTTTCTAAATACAAACACCAACAAATATGCTTACTGCAATTACTATAGCTGCCTTTTTACTATTGTTAGGAGATATTGAAAGGCTTAATTACTTGTATTTCTTGTAATGCTGATTAAAAATAAGAAAAATGCACACATACAATTCAATGAGGACTGTGAGAAAAACAATGTGTGGCTGAAAATATAGTCTTATGTTCCTGCTGGTCCTTAGCCAGGGTTATTACTATATTAGTGTACAACAGTACAAAGTTTATATTGCATATAATACATGCTATCAGTTTAGTTTATTTTAACAATGCCTGCTCCTTATACCGAAATCATATATCTTACTTTTCTATTATGTCAAAAGAAAAACAATTATGCTTGCAGCCTATTTCATATTTTATCCTATCTCATCAGGCAGGTCAAAGTCATTTTAAAAAACAGTTATAAAATAGATACGATATTATTATTATAATTTTAGGCTGCCCTGACTAATCATTTCTTGTGGTTCAGAGATAGAACTAGTAGAGATGACAAAACCATAGGAGAAGGTTCTAATTCACCTGCCTATACTTAGACATTTACATTGGGAAGCAATGACTAGAAAAACAAACACCGACTACTCTTCAGGACACCTGAGTCAGCAAAATCACCTGCACATAGTTGAGAAAGGGGTCCCTCATAGTGCAGATTTTGTGGAGAACTCAAAAGCCAGAATACAGTAGCTGTGGATGGCATTTATATTTAGTAAGAGTGCAATATACTCGTTTGAAGTTGGGAGATGAGTATTTATTGAAACAGCTGGCAAATCAGCAGGAAAATGCTGATTTTGAAAAAACTATTCTTCTTCTGTGGAATCAGACCTACTGTATTTAGCAACACTATTATAATTGAACACAAAAACTGCATTAAAACACCATTAAGAAGGAGACAGAAATCCAGAAAAATAAGAGAATTCTAAGTTAAAGGCTGTCACAGCACTCCTGAGTCAGCTCTTTTAAGCATAAATGCACAAGCGGTCTTTCAAGTCTGACACGAGATGAACTGACTGGCCTCTGTTTCCCCATCTCTTATGGCCACTGTCAGATGGAAGCAGAGTATTTTTCCAGACTGACCTACCACAACTCATCTATCTATATACATGGGAGCACCAATTCTGCCCTTCATGAAATTAAAACGCCAGGAAATTGGATGAAATTTTAATTTTAGCATGACATGAGCACAGCCTAACCTTTCCCTGAAAATGATACATGTGTTAGTAAGGGACGTTCTGTCACTCCATCTGACCCCACTTCCACCACTTAGAAACACAGAACTGTATACTTTTATACAGACATAAGGAAACCAAAGGATCACCAGGTCATTTTTTTTTCACATGAAAACACTGAGAACTGCTTAATTTATGTAACTTGCTAAAGGTTACACAACTGGTTTGTGGCTAAAACCAAATCTTATGACTTTTAATCCAGTGTCCTTTCCAGCACACTCCTTGCCCTCTCTTTAGTCTGTCAGTAATGCATAAAATAAAGATAGACTTTGTCCCAACCCTGGGCCTTAAAGGCAACTAGGAGGACAGACATGGGTATAAACAGTAGGGCATTTTGTAAAGCACTTAATGGTTACTATTTTCTCCTCCTGTGTTTAATAACGACAGCAGTCAAGTAGGGCTTGTCCAACTCCCCAGCGCAAGCCAAGAAAGTCCTGTGGCTAGCCACGGTGCAGTGTTTCCAGGGCAACAGACCATTGTTGTACCTTCTGCTACCCTGGAAAAATCAGGGAAATATGGGCCATGCAGAAGGGCGAGGTGCAGATGCCTGAGGACTCTCCTAGTGTAGCTCAGCTCTGGACCCAGGTGCAGGTCCACCTCAGTGTCAGAAGCCTATGTGATCATTCTCTAGAAATATGCTAATAGTTTCTCTTATTAAAAAAAAAAAATAGAGTCAGAACCTTTCTGGAGATAAACATGAGCTTCATTTTTATTCAAATAGTCTAAGACCAATTTAATACTGGCTTCAATAGAATCAAGCACAAGCACTTTGTTGTGCAAAGTGTATCTGAATCTAGCTTTTGATAACTTTCTGTGGAATCTCCACTGTCTGGGAGAGAGTTGGCTTCCTAGGACACACTGGTGGAGGTGCACATGGCTTGGGAATGCATCTGAACTTAGATCTTAATATCTGTTAGAACTGAGGAGAGAGTATAAGTGGTGCCAATGGGTTTCAAGAGGCTACATTTTTGTGCCCAGCTCTGTTCTTCGGAAGTGCAACCGTGTCCTCTCCTATATCGCAAAGATTACAGACAGATTTATTTAAAACATAGCTTCCCCCTTTCACAAAATCCAATATTTTGTACCTTTAGAGAGGCTTGAATCAATTGATTAAGACTCACATCATAACCCTGGGAAGTTTAGCAGGTGAGAAACAGAAAACCTGAGAACTTATTTATATATTGAGTTGAGAGCCCAGTGAATGTTCTTGTTGTTGAAACTTTAAACCTAACTTAAACTTTTGAATATTCAAGTTCATACCTTCTTGGCAAAGCATGACCTCATTTTCTTCATGGGAAAAAATTCTAAAAGCTTCAAAAGTTATTTTTTAAAATAATTTTAATTGCAAATGGATTAGAAACATATGAATTAAGTATCTCTGAAATTACACATAGTTGCTAATACCAAAAGGAAAAAGATTAAAACAATTTCTTTTAGACTTCATCAAACCATAAATATCCAAAGTACGCTTTTGAAAAATTTGGCAGGGGAGACAGGAACATAAATGCTGTATGATGTCTTATTTTTTTATATATAAAATAGAATTAAGGAGAAATTTGTCTTGAATATTTGTGGTGACAACCTCAAATCTGATTTATTCTATTTCCAGAGGAATTTTTTTTCTTTCCTGTTCTGCTTTATGCTAATATATTTTTATTCTTCTAACCAAATACATTGTCAGGAGAACCATTAAATGCTGATCGGAAACACGGCTTTGGTCCTAACGTAATTCCAGGGATGAGTGTGGTTTTTAACTTAGATTGCCTACAACCTTTGTTGGATTAAGATTGGTTAAAAGTTTAAACAATCCTGAAACATTACTAGTAACTTTTAATAGTCCCATACCAGTGATATTGAACACTTCCATGCTTTGATTTCAGGATGATTCATTTACATGAAAAGCCTGGTATGATCTTCCAATCTATCTTTTAGCAATTTTTTCTACCTTTATAATTAAATATAGGCAATCGGGCATTTATTCTGGCATTTCACTTTTCTCCTAGAAGTTTGTTTATGGGTTACTTTTAAGAAACAGTTTTAGAACACGCAGCATTAGTTATAATGTTGTTTTTATTATTTTTGTTAAGAAATAATCAATATTTATTGAGTGCCTTCTGAACACCAAATTTGCAAGAGCTTTATAGTTGTTGAGCAGTTGCATATAGGGGCTTTTCATATAGAATTTTAAATTCAATAATAAATTCTATTCAAAAGAAAATGTACTGTACTTTTTTTTACCCTCTCCCATTTCCCTAACCTTTAACTCACCACTTGCCATATTCCATAAAACTTCCTACAAATATTTTGATTAATTACACATTGTAGTCAAATACAAAATGGGAGGCCAGGGAGAGATGCCTTCCTTAACAAATCTGCGTCTCTCTATGAGAAACATTGCTATGCTTCACCTGCTTATAAGTTCAAAACTTGTTACAGGTAAGGACACCCAGGACATCTTTATTGATCTAAACACCAGTCTGCTCTGCTCCCCTTGTGCATGAGAGGATCATGAGACAAATTCTTTTAACTGTCTCCCAGGATCAATATCAGAAAGATACAAAACTTGAAGGTTAAAGAAAGATCTGCATATACTGTGTATTACCTGCATACAATGCTTTACTTGCATGCAGTGATTTACTAGACAACTTTGGGATGTGGTGTGAGAAAGCCTGATTTCTCTGTTTTTTTTTTTTTTTTTTTTTTTTTTTTTTTTGCTTTTGTTTTTGTTTTGAGTAGAAATGAATATAAAACAAAGTAGGTTATATATGAAAGTATCAATACTAAACTCTCACTGTACCTTACTGATGTGGTTTCAGTCTTCACCAGCACACAGCAATTCTGGGTTGTCCAACAGCCAGGGTAAGCCCATGAATAGAGCAACAAGAAAATTAATTAATTTTAAACAAAAGTGTTGATATTTTAAAAAGTAGCAATAATCTTGGAGAAATCAGTACTATAAAGGGGACTCTACATATATTTTGTGGTTTAGGATTTTTATATTTTGAATTCAATATTTAGGTGTAGGCAATAGGAAAAGTTGGGCACAGCAGTAAATTCAGTATTGAAGTTCTCATCATTTCATAGCTGTGCAAAATATTTTAAAATTTTCACATGGGACATTTTCCGATGCAATGTAAACTCAACAAAAGATTGTTAGTACTTTTCCATGACCTCCATTTTGCAATCAGAGTTTTCTTCAGATTAATTCCCTCTAAGAATGTCTCCTGAGGTACTTTCTACCCCAACACATCCATTCAAAATCCAAGTACTGTTTCCGGTGTTTGATTACAGCTCCAGAAAATCCCAGGACATCAACTATAAACCAACTAAAACATTGATGGAGATATGAGTTAGCATCACTCAACTCTAGCTCAGATTCACAAATAATATGGGTTTGAGTTATCAGCCAGTTTTCTTAGTAGTTTTCTTTACTGATCTCTTCTGATCACACCATACTGTGGGTTTGAAGTCTATGAGTGAGGAAGGGAAAGGAAAGAAGATTAAATGCGAAAAGGTTCAAATTGCAATGCAGTGCTGAGACTTCCAGATCAATGGAGAGTTCCCAAGCAAAAGTTGCCCATTAAAGGGTCATACAGGAAAAGTCTAGATATAACACCACTGCTATGCCCAGTCATCATCTTAGAGAAGCCCAGAAAAAGCACAGTTTGGGATAAGTGCCAGGGTGGATTTGAAGCCATGGCTGCTATAGACTATCAATCAACTATGCTTTCACAGCAACTTATCTTAAAGGGAAATCTAAAAGACACAACTCCACGGTCATAGAGTTTACCCTTTGCCCTGGGAAGATCTAATTTTCTATTTCTATTGGGCAAGGACCTTCTCCAATACATGGTTCTCAGCTCCTGAACGGAAACTTAGATGAGGAAGGGCAGTGAGACAAACTACAACCCTCTGCTGTAGTTGGTCTAAGGGCCACAACTAGTACTCATTCTTCCTCTCCTTTACCATCAATTCTAAAATTCCTTCACCTTCAGCCATCAACTTAGCAGGTTTTAGTGGTCATTCTGGTACACTTATATAAACCTTCAATCCTCAGAGGACTGAGCCCTTGATCTGTTTATTTATAATTACAACAGGGCAAGTGAGTACCAAAAAGTACCCTCTTGTATCATGTGGATTCTACATATATAGTCATGCAATGCTTAATGATGGGGACACATTCTGAGAAATGTGTTATTAGGCAATTTCTTTGTTATATGAATATCATAGAATGTATTCATACAAACCTAGAGGTATAAGCTACTACACACCTGGGCTATATGGTATAGCCTATTGGTCCTAGGCTAAACCTGTATAGCATGTTACTCTACTGAATGCTGTAGGCATTTGTAATACAGTGGTTTTGTATATGTAAAATATGTGAACATAAAAAAAGTACAGTAACAATATGATATAAAAGATTTTTTTTAAAGTGTACCTGTATAGGGCACTTACCATTTATATGATACTTACCCAGCTTGCAGGAATGGGAATTGCTCTGGATGACTCTGTGAGGGAGTGGTGAGTGAAGGTGAAGGCCTAGGACATTACTATACACTACTGTAGGCTTTACGAACACTATAGACTTAGGCTACACTAAATTTATTTAAAAAGTTTTCTTTTTCAATAATAAATTAACCTTAACTTACTGTAATGTTTTGACTTTATAAACATTTAAATTTGTTTTTAATTTTTTGACTGTTTTTAATAACCCTTAGTGTAAAACACAAATGTATTATAAAGCTGTACAAAACTATTTTATTTCCTTATATCCTTATTCTCTAAGTATTTTTTCTATTTTTGAATTTTTTATTTTACTTTTGAAATTTTTGTTAAAAATAACACACAAACACACACATTAGCCTAGGTATACACATGTTCAGGATCAATAATATTACTATCTTCCACCTCCACATCTTTTCTGTCTTCAAGGTGCAATAACACACATGGAACTGTCATCTCATGATAACAATATCTTCTTGTCGAATATCTCCTGAAGGACCTTCCTGCGGCTATTTTACAGTTAAGTTTTTAAATATAAGTAAAAAAAGTACACCCTAAAATAATGTTAAAAGTATAGTATAATACACAAATCAGTAAAATAGTCATTTAATATCATTGTCAAGTATTATGAACTGTATACGTAATTGTATCTGCTAGGCTTTTTACAACTGGGAATGCAGCATATTTGTTAATACTAGCATCACTCATGAAACATAATGCTTTACAACATCTATGATGTCACTAAGTAATAGGAATTTTTCAGCTCCATTATAGGCTTGTGAGACTACTCTAATATATGTGGTCCATCATTCACTGAAGTGTCACTCTATGGTATATGCCTGTGTTTGTGTCTGCCCTCATTGTGTAAAAGCAGCCCTCCTTATCTTGCTGATCAGGGTTAATTATGCCTGGCAAGGTGGTGACTCCTCATCTTCTGATCTCTGGATGCAAAAAGTCCAAAGAGTTCTGGAAGCTGCTATAGCTTGTAGATTAATGAGATCCTTCTTGTGTCCTCTGGCAAGAATATGCCCTGTTTGAGGACCAGGAACTCTAATTCTAAAAAGTCCAGAATTGCAGGAATGGAAAACATGAAGTCCCCAAGTAGGTCATTGGAAGCAGTTGTTATAGGGGCCACTGCTGCTTCTATCTCTTAAATCCTAGACCCTTTGTTCTTCCTAGCGGTGACACAGCACCATCTAGACATGCTCATAATGGGTAATCTGATCTAATACATGTGCTGCATCATGAAAAACTACACCACATCCTTAAAGAACATTGCCTCTGGCTGTGTCTTCAGTAGTCTGCACCAAGACTGTACAAGACCTACTGCTTCTGAATTACATAGTATGTGACATGGCCAATGGATCTTTTTGCCCTGGGCCCACTCCTGTACCTCTTTTGCTATGTTGATGTTCAGTTAAATGCTATACTGTGTGAGATTTTTGTCCCTCTGTATTAGAATAGTGGTACATGGTAAGGCTGTACAGGCAGGAAAGGCAACCCTATGCTGAAAATAGCCTTCTATCATTTTAAGAATGAACTGCTTGCTCTTCCTGTAGGATAAAATGGGCTCAATGCAGTTGACTTGCTACCAAGTGGCTGGTTAGTCACCTCAAAAAATATTGACATTTTTGAGACTCAGTATTGGTCTCTGTTGGACATTCAGGGTCAGCAGCTAGATCAACCTTGGTCAGTAGGATTTCATACTGTTGGGCTCGTGTGTACTTTCATCTCTACTACCATAGCGACTCAATTCATTTATCCATTGAGGCAGTTTCAGTGTGACCAGTGACCAAGGCTATGTCAATTAGATGGCTTGTTTTGTTTACCTGGTTGTTCTGTGCCTTTTCTGTGGTTATCTTTTTGTATTGTTTTGTAATTTGTTTCTGTTTTTGTTTTGGTGGGGAGGTGTTCATGTTTGTATAAAAAAATTCCCAGTCACGTCTACTTCCGTGTATCTATTCACATGTTTATACCTCTTCTTCCTTGTCCAATTTTCAAATCCTTTTCCTTCTGTGTCAACCTTGAACATCTGGCAAGGCCACTGGCCATTGCCTCACCATCATAGGGCATTTATTTTTTCACACAAAGTAGATAATCAAATGTACCACTTATCTCCCACTCTGTAATAAAGAGGCTGATACCATTTTTGATGTTCTACTGCTGACATCCTTTAAGTATCACCACTCCCTCTTCCGCTTTCACCTCACACCTGGGCAGGCTGAAGAACAAATCCAAATGGTGCTTCCCTTGTGCTGGTGGGAAGTTCAAACCATGTAAGACCTGGTCTACATGCAAGAATCCTTGTTGCAGTCCCTGCTTTCTCAATCCATTTTCAGACCTGCTTGGAAGTCTTTCCTGCTCTCCCTAGAAAGCTTCATTATTTGAATAATAAAAATTTCACACACTTTCCATGTGTATTACATCACCAGTTTCTACATTCAAACCTAATTCTGAATCAGGTCTGCATTTCACTTTGGTGGGGTAATCACAAGACACCCATTGAGAAGATGCTTCCTTTCCACTGTCTGTCTAGGCCACCCATGATTGTGGCAGGAAAGCAACTGCCAATCACTTGGCTTGCACCCTGATACCAAGCTATCCCATCCATAGACTAAACTTAGACTTTTTTTGTCCTTCTTCTATTGATCAAACATGTCCTCCATATGGCCTTACATATGAGCTCAAGAAAGGTATTGGTGCAACAGTAGTGGGTGTCATGTGAATTGAGACAAATTGTTCATGCAACTTACTTGTACCTTCTGTCCTGCCTGGGCTTGATCTCAGATGTACCATTTCCAATTCACGGTGAATTTCTGCTCGACCTGTCTGACGGTAAGCTTGGTAGGTCCAAAAGAAACCAGCAGTGTGATATGCGTGGTCACTTGGTGCCTCGTATTTAACCAACTGATCTATACCAAGGACAAATAATATATCAGAAAATATTTTCCAAAAAGTGTGTATTTCTTTACTGCTGATGGTATAGCCTTGCTCCTGAATCCCAAGGGCTTGCTTTGGGATTCTTGCACTGCAGCTTGCCATAATCCTCAAATTGTATCTTTCCCCATTGCAGATACTTGCAACACCATAGGTCTACAGGATTGTAATTCCAAGTGACAAAGCAGCTCACACTACAGTCTGGAGTTGCTGAAGAGCCCTTTCCTGCTGGCAACCCCTATGCCATTCAGTACATGGGCCAAGCTGTGTAACTAGGTGTGGAATGTGTGGCCTCCAAAATCCACAAAGGCCTACCAGGAGCCATGCTTCCCTTTGCTGGTAGAGATGCAATATGGAGCAATTTGTCTTTTATTTTTAAGGGATACTTGACATGCCCCCAAGATCCCCAAGGATGTCACTGAAGTTGCAGGTCTCCTAATTATTGAAGGGCCTATCTTCCACCCTCTGGAACTTTCCTGTGTTACTGAGGTCTCTCCCTCATGTTAGCCACCTTTTGCCCATTTTTCCCAGTCAGTCTGTTTCGTTGATGTAACAGATCATTATGGTGTTGGCCAGTGTCCAGATGGTGCAGACCTCCTCAGACTATATTAGGACAGAAAATGAGAGAGTTAACACTGGAGCAAAACTGTAAATGAATATTGCCATCCCGTCTGTGTGAATGTGAACTGTTTCTGACTCTCATTTCTGGTGAGAAAAAAAAATGCATTTGTCAAATCTATTATAGCATAATATCCAATACATTTTTAATCTATTCTACAATGATACCCTGTCCAGCACAACAGCTACAATCAGCCTACAAATTGGTAGATCTTGTGCAAGTCCCTTGTAATTTTGGAGTTCCTATCTAGTTTCTATAGAGGCCAGACTGGCACATTAAAAGGTGTAAATTAGGAACCACTATCCCTATACCTTTAGGCCTTTAATAGTAGCAATAAGTACAGCACCTAGCCCAGGATAGGTATTTTTTACAAACTAGCTTGGATGGAGTGTGTGGGGGTAAGTTTCAGAGGTTTGTACTAAGCCTTCCCCACTATAGTAGCTCTCACCGCATAGACCAGGACTTCATATGGGGATTACTCCAACTGTCAAATATGCCAATTTGCAATAAGGCACTTGGAAACCAAGGAAATGCCTACCAGCTGCATTTGTAACCTCAGTGGATCCATTTGAAGCCAGTCCATGTTCTGGACTCCATTGATTACCTCAGTGGGCTATGATGACGCCTTGGGCCTATGGGTGACAATATCCAATAAGCTTCAAAATGCCTGGCTAGTCATCTTTCTCCAGTTTATACTCACCTAAGTTAATGGCCATAGATCCCTTTGGAGAAAGACTGCGGACATATATTTGCAGTTGGGTTGCATGTGCATTATCCTGGAAGCCTGATACCTTTCTAGTCAATAAATTCCAGATCTGAAATTTGGCTTAGGTTAGGAACTGGGCATGTAATTGTAACTTTTTTTGTGAGGTCTCCTACTCCTCTCATCTTATTCTGATTTCAGATGTTAAGCAGTGCCTTCATTGGCTGCACATCTCATTTGCTTCAAAGGATCCCATGCTTTATCAACCAGCTCTACGAGTCCCTAAAGGTTGAACTCCCTTGACTGCCCCTTTGATACTGGTGATTACTGATGGAAATTCCAGTCCCCTAGCTTCTGGCATATAAGTCCTGCCACATGGTCTCTATTACTTAAGGGAACCATCACCACCATGGCTATTAAGCCCAGCTCTATGAATGCCTCTCTGAATTAGCTTCCTGGGGCTTGTATAACAAAGTACCCCAAATTGGGAAGCAGGGTCAGGCTCCCTCTGAAACTTACAGGGAATTCCTTCCTTGGCTCTTTCTAGCTTCTGGTAGTTTGCAGTCATATTGTATTAGGGCCCTTCCTCATGACCTCATTTTCACTTGATCACCTCTATAAACACCCAATTTCCAAATAAGCTCACATTTTGAGGTACTGGGGGTTAGGAATTTAGCATATTTTTGTGGGGTGAGACACACTTCAGCTTATAATACTCTCCCACCATCACCCTTGACCTGCGGGGAGAGCCACCACTGAATGCAGCTGTATTATGATCACAGAATACACTCTCAAAAATACATTCATGTTGACCATGGTGAATGGTGTGTTCTCTAAGCCTCTCCACAGAATAATCTTCTGTTAGGTATTCTGACCTCACAAAATGTACCCATTCCAGCCTAATCACTTTCCTTAGCCTGTTAATCTTTCCCCTGCTATCTATCAGGAGAAACACAGGCAGGAGTTTGTTCAGCAATAGCCACCTCTTCTTCAGGATTTTACAAGCCACCCGTACCCTAGGGTCTTTCCCTAGGGAGCTGAATCCCAAATCCCAAGGGGCTCTAAACTATTGAATTGTTGCTTATCTAGTCTTTCATTTTGAATCTTTTTTATCAAGAACCCTTAGAATCCAACCCTAAGGAGTACTTCTTTGGCTCCTGCTAATACATCCTAGCTAATTCTTAGGCTCTTTGGGGTTTGGTATCTTACCTTTTTAAAAGGCTTGGCATATCCTCAGCCAGGCTATGCTAGGATTTCACCCAGCTACTCAGATTGGCAGTGATGAGACTATATGGGGGCTGCTCCCAAGAGGGCCAACTGTTACTATATGAGGAAGAATCCTAAGTGTTATGGTTTGCCTGTGTCCCCACCCATATCTCATCTTGGATTGTAGCTCCCATAACCCCCATGTGTCGTGGGAGAGACCAGTGGGAGGTACTTGAATCATGGCAATGGGTTTTTCCCATGCTATTCTCGTGATAGTGAGTAAATCTCATTAGATCTGGTGGTTTTATAAAGGGCAGTTTCCCTGCACACACACTTGCCTGCCGCCATGTAAGCTGTGCCTTTGCTCCTCCTCTACTTTCTGCCATGATTGTGAGGCCTCCCCAGCCATGTGAAACTGTGAGTCCAGTAAATCTCTTTTTCCTTATAAATTACCAAGTTTCCAAAATGTCTTTATAAGCAGCATGAGTACAGACTAATACACTAAGCAAGATATTTCCTTATGGGAGAAAATTTAGCTTATAGTAGGGAGGAATGGTATACCTCTGTAAGCTCTGAGATTTCAGGGGGTAGGGAGTTGCACAGTCAGAATCCGTGGAGGACACATATATGCAGAAGTCCTTAAATGTTGTTTTAAGATCCCAGGTTTTCCTAATAAGAATTTATCACAAGAGTCCTGTTGCCTTGGCTGAGCATTTAAACACATTCGGAGTTCTGTAACTCTATTAAGCTACGAAAAAAGTACCTCTGGTTCTAATACTTTAACTGTTTAACCATGTCCCATTATTCTTATGAAAGGAATCAATAATGCTTGGTAATAACTGGCGAGTTCTGCTCCCCTATTAAGAATTTTTCTCCCCTATATCTCTCGAATACCTGAATAATCACTTCAGAAAGGGGCCTTCTCTCTCTTAGTACACTTTCCCAACATCAGCAATGGTGAAATTTTTAGCAGTTTGGCAACCAGTTTGTGCCAAGCGTTAGCCATGCTTCACATTCTACTCAGGGTGAGTGTCCTCATTGCTCTCTGGGTGGTAAGGGAACCAGTCCCAGCCACAACTTCCAGTAGCACTGGTGTAGGTTCAGGACTCTCAAGAAGCCTTGATGATAAGAGAAAATCTCTGAAGCTTAAGTAGTAGGGAGCAGAAGAAGGCAAGACTTGTATTCTAGCACAATGCGGGTATAAAGCTTGTGAAAAGAGAATGGGGAGAAAGGAGAACTTGTAGACTGAGAGCAGTTCTGAGAAAGTCTTGGCCAGAGTGATAAGAAGTTCCCCAGCAAAAGCTGCTTATTAGAGTCTAGCACTGGCAAGAATGTCCTGGCTCAAGAACTCCCACTATGCTCATTCTTTCTGCCATGATTGTGTTAGGAGAAAGATGGCCTCAATAGGAAGGACACAGTGGATCTCAAGGTACTACAGGTGGATAAGTCACCCCACAGAAGATTCTCTTGAAGGGAGAGCTTAGTGGCTTACATTCATGCCAGCACACCCTTGAATACCGGTAAAGCATGAGTCTTTATGATGGAGCCCGAAGTTCACTGAAGTGTCTTAAAATGAATCTTTCTTTGGAATACTTGTTGCTTTGGCTTAATTCAGCTCCCATAATTGCATTAAACTAGATTCACTTCTCTTCCCTGTGTAAATAACATTGATGTTAGACCTTCCAAACTTACCTTGCTCTGAAACTTTCTTCTGCCTCTCAAATCTGACTCCACCTCTCTGTGAAGAAAACAAATTAAACAGCAGTGACAAAATATGTTTCGATATGTAACACCCTCCCTGAAATGATGCTATTCCAGGATTCCAGTTTTTCTACCGAGTTTCAAACATCCTTTTGAAGAGTCATCTCTCTTAGTCATGTCTCCTGTGGCCTGCTCTTCTATGTTGGCATGAAAACTAAAAGATACATGCATTTTGGGTGAGGGGTAGCAGAAGAGATACTGTAACATTTGGAAAAATTGGGGTTAATTCCAAATATAAAAATAATGTTGGGTGGGAATTTTCAAATTTTTTACTCCGTGTATGTTATCAGTTCAGTTAATTAATACTAACTACCAAATCATACAAGACTCAAAATCTTTGTAGCTTAATACAATAAAAGTTATGCAACATAGTTTAGCAGAAGGCTATTTTCCACTTAACAATTCAAGGATTGAGGCTTTTTTTTATGTCCCCTTATCATCATACAATTTTCAAATTGGTTGTAGCAGACAAAGAGAGTAGGAGGGACACTAGCTCCTAAATGTCCTGAATAAGAAGTGACACAAAATTTCCACTCACATTTTCGTCTGCCAGAACTCACTTCTATGTCCCCAGCCTAACTGCAAAGAAGGTGAGGGAATGTAAATGAGCATGGTGACCCATGCTGAGCGTGATTTGTTTTTGCACACCATGCCAATTTTGCACTTTCCTCATCCCACACTGGGTGACTGACCCTCTGTATTTTTTTTCTTCTTTTCATAGCCCCTGAAATATCTCCATATGCATGTATTCTCTGCCTTGCCAGGAAAGAAAGAACAAACATTTGTAGAAAGAATGAGATATTTCTAGAGATACCGTTAGTTTAAAATATTCATCTAAGTTTCATAAGTTTCCTGATGTCAGTATCAGTCTGTGTGTTTTCAAAGTTTTTGGTGTTTCTTCTTTTTCCAAATGTCTTGTTTGAAGAATTACGTACTTGAATCAAAAGGAACAGCACAATAAGGGTGGAAAAAACTAAATGGTTCTCCTTAAAATATATTCTACAATGCTGATAGATATGCAAACAAATGGATGATATAAAAATATATTATTACATTCTCCATGTTGTAAAAGTTGAACATAGATGATAACTCCGGTCTTTTTAATAGAACAAACTTTTTGAATTTGCTTATTTCACAGCAGATTAAAAAATCTATTTTACTGAATGTGTTAGCTCCCTATTGCTGCTTTAACAAATTACTAAAAAGTTAGTGGCCTAAAACAGCACAGATTTATTCTCCTATCTCAGTAGAGGTAAGACATTTAGAATCAGTCTTATGGGGCTAAAATCAGCAGAACTGGTCCTTTCTGGAGGATTCCAGAAGAAAAATCAATTTCCCAACTCTCATAACTTCCAGAGACCACCAGCATTCTTTGGTTTACTGTTTCATCATACCAGTCTCTGCTTGTCTTTACATAGCCTTCTTTGTCAATTCTCCTGCCTCCCACTTATAAGAATTCTTGTGATAATATTGGGAGCACACAGATAATCAAGGGTAATCCCCCCAATCTCAGCATCCTTAATTTAATCACATCTGCAAAGTTTCTTTTACTGTGTAAGGCAATTATTCACAGGCTTATTCTTATAGACATTACATTCTTATCAATAGCCCATGCTTATCAATCAGCTGGATGAATATAGGGATATAATCTATAGTAATGATATAATAGATTCATCTTCATGAAATGAAATGACTGATGGCAGTAGCAAAACCTTCTTTAACACTAGTCAACTATGAATTTGTTAATGAATACCCATGTAAAAGGTAGTATTGATCACCTAGGAGAGGTAGAGCAAATTTGTATAGAGGTCAAGGAACATTTTGGAAATAAAGAGATCAAGATCTTCACCTCTTCCCTATTGAGGATGAATATTCATTTTTCTCTAATGTACAAAGACCTAGACAACAGAGGTCCACAGGTAGGATAGAGTCTCCAGGGGCACCATATTTGAGGTGGCAACATATTAGAAGCAATAAAAATAACTGACCTTTTAGAGGAAGGATTTAATGTTTAATTTAAATCACAAATACTTCCAGGTATGGTGACAAACTGGATAATCTAGAGGCAAAGGAGTTTTTATAAAATTACATGAGCCCAGTAAGGTAAAACTTTGTGAATAGATGTGATTTCTTTCTGGACATTAATCTGATCTTTCCAAACCTAGATCTGTTTTTTCCTTTTTAAATGTCATGCCCCCTAATATTTTCTATGACCTAATTGTTACCATTGTAGCGGTGTTGCTGTAGAACTACTCTGAATTCTTTTTACCAATGTAATGGAATTATAATGGCATTATAATGGACTCCCGATAATTTCTTTTTACTATTGTAATGCTGTCATAATGGCATTGTAAAGGGTTCTCCATAAACATATACTGAAATCATTTTGCCACCATCATGACAGTGAAATGAGTCCCCATAGAGTTTATTTGAAATTGTTTTGCTCTTATAATGGCATTATTAATGCAGTCTCCACAGACTTACAGGGAAATTGTTTGACCATCATAATGTGGTCTTCATAGACTTACAATAAAATTGCTTACCAGTGTAATGTGGTTTCCATTAACTTGCACTAAAATCATTTTCCTACCATAATGGCATTATAATAGGGTATCCATGAACTTGAGCTACCAAAGTTTGGTTCTCTTGATGGCATCATAGCAGCACATTACAAAGACAGTTAAAGTAATGTTGATGCTTTGTTGTGTCATAAGCAAATACTATAAGTAATGCACATCTACTTTTCACACTTAAGGATCATGTGGTTTCTCCTTTAAAAGTAATGTACTGACCACAGCATACTTTATAAACCAACAATAATCACTTCTCAAATAACTAGATGAGAGAGCCCTAGATTCTGAGTGCAGAAAATCTCAACTCATGCACACTCTAAATGAATTCTAATGGTTTTATTAATCTGACTATTTTTTCTCCTCTAAAAAAAAGTGTGATACATTTTTTTCTCCAGTTCCTTCAAAAAACAGAAACATTGTTTTTATAAATACTTTTTCGTTCTACAATTTATGATGTTTTCTGAGATTGGTATAAAGTACAAATCAACACTTTCTAGTTCTTAATATGAGCATGTGAAGTGTATGATATTTATATAGAGTTTTTATAACCTTTGTCCTTTTTATTTAAGAGACAATACAGAGAACTCACTGGGAATGAATGGATATACTATAAAGGCAGATTAAAAGCATATAATAAATAGAGTGGATTAAATATTTACTGGATGAACAGGCCTCATGTTAGGTGCATTAGTAGGAGATGCAGGCAGGATGAAGGGTGTGATGTTGAGGGAATTTTATTTTTTCATAGGATGTGGTTAGGTTACCAGTAATGTAACTTTGCAAACAGCTTTTGGGAATTATTTACTAGCTGGGAAAATTTTAATCAATCCTTCTCTGAATTAGCAACAGCTGAGTGAATATATGTATGATTTTAAGGAAGCACAACTTTTTCTGCTTATATTAAAAATTTATTTATGTTGCTTTTAATACACTATTGTCCATTCCATCTGATTTCCTTTAGATACACCCATGAGTTCTTATATAAGAAAGAAAACCTATGCAATTAGGTATGGGGATATGACACCTAATTTAGATAAAACTATTTAAGAAAAAAAGCAAGAGTCTGTATTGTATGAGTCACTAGCCACTTCTTTATCTTGGTGTAAAGGGAAAATTGCCTTGGAGGAGTTTCTTTTTTGATTCTAGAATGTCTTTCTAATGTCTCCTTTTCTATTATAAATATGAAGCAAGTATGGATCAATTGCCCTGGAAGGGTATACACGATTTCCTTTTTGGGTAAAAATTGTCCTTCTGAATGCCTGCTTAATAGGTAGTGTTTATCACTGGGAAGAAGGTGGAAACATTTGTACAATGGTCAAGGAACCTTTTGAGAAGAGAGCAAGAACTTCACCATGTTCCTTTCGAGGTTTAATAGAAGCTCATCATTTTTAACAGATTTTGATGGTTAGACAGCAGTGGTCCACAGGTAGGAGAGATTTCCCAGAGGCATCTCAGTAGGAACAAACAACATAGAGTGCCTGAAGTGGTGACTGATTTCTGTCCCAAAACTTATATGGCCTTGGGTTGGAGAGCAAAGGCAGTCGGGAGTTTTTCTCAAGCTACTAGCCACTCCCAATACTGGGTGTGCTTTCAGACAATGAGCATTATTTAATAGTAATAAAATAATAATAGTATTGTGTCAAGGATTTTTCTGTGTACCTTACACAGATCATCTCGAAACAACTATGAAGTAGGCATTTTAAGATATACATTTTACCATAGGAAAACTGAGAGGATAAATGACTTGACCAAGGTCACACAGCCATTAAGTAGCTGAGGCATAAATTACCTGATGCAGTTTGACTCTGCTGTCTATCTATGTTGGCACTACAACATTGTGGGAGCCCAAGCTTGAGGCCCCTTTTTCCTACCATACTGACACAGTGGTGTTTTACTCCCAGTGCAGAGATTCGGTAAGGTAGGAGTGATTTGAGAACTGGCCCTTAGTATCATAGTGGTATAAGGAAAAATTTCGGAAATAAACTTCCTGCCCTTTAGATCCTGAGAAAGTATTGCCAGGATGGTAGTGGCATCATCAGAGCAGCAGATGAATTTCATATCCCAATGTGTGTGTCCACTAGAATTCTACAATGACAAATGTGGCTGAGAACAGTGATTGCAACAGAAATTGGGGAACTTCCTTCTATTAAATTGATCAGATTTTCTATTTATTTCCCCAAAGTGTGAAACAGAACTGGCCCCTTAGGATGATAAAGTCTCCAGAGTTCTGGAAATATTCAGGGAGTTTGAAGAGTCCCAAGAGAGATACTTGAGCTCCTGCTGATGGGCATGGGAGGGCTCTAGAGATTAATTTTGGTACTAAAAATAGAAATGACCTCATTTATATTACAAGCTCATGAAACAGGTCATTTTACATATTCTGCAAAGACCTCTGGATTAACATATACCAGCCAGATTTCAGAAAATAAAAAATGTAATCATTGATTTTCTCAGAATTATTTAATGGAAGCCACTGGCTTTTACTGTCAAGCTTAGGTTACAAATTTATGACTAAAATAGAAAACAAATCACATTGGTCAGAGGTCGGTAACAAAATAACACCAGGATAAAGTTAAGAAAATAACTGAGTCCAAATTATAATATGGCTACCACATAACTGATATTTAAAATGGCAAAAACAAACATTTATTATCCTTAACGTTCTATCATTTACTTTTGTAAAAAGATTAACATCAACACTAAGGATATCATCATTCCTTGACTCAACAAGAGATTTATAGATTGGTGTAAAGAACTCTCAGACTCTCAGAGTGGGGAATCAGACAAGGGAAGTGATAGTACCTACCTCATAGATTTGTTGTAAGAATTAAAAGAGATAATTCACTTATAGAATTTAGCATGCTGCTTGAAACTTGATAAGCATCGCATAGATACTGTCTCATAGTTTTTATTGTTGTGTTCTTGTTGCTATTTGTTAATAAACCACATGGCATTGGACAAATCACTTTATTTCCCTGTATCATAAGTGCCCTATCTACAAAAGGAGCAAATCAAATTAGAGGACTTCCAGACCATTCTTAATTCAAGCTGTTTGAATATTTGAACATATAAATATACACTGGAGGAATTCTGATGGCAACATTTTCTGAAAATTTTCATAAGATAAACTCAATATTATTTAAGCACAGATAGTAGAACTATTGTAAAAAAATGTTTAAAAATACAACTTTGAGTGGTTTAGACCTTTTGCTAGACAGGCAATAGGAGTGACTTGTTGGATAGCAGTCAAAGATAAGGACTCAGAGTAAAGATCATCATGCACCTTCAAAAGAAAAAAGTCGGTGGCTAAATGGCAAGAATTACTGGCAAACACTGGCTAATCATGGAACAGGTTTGTCAGTAACCTCTGTAAGACTCTGGAATAGCAACATTATCAGCAGAATCCTCTTCAAATAAAAATATTTTTTATGGTTAGTAAAGCAAGTTATATCCTGAGCTTTGGGATATCAGAACCCTTCAAGAGGAAGACTTCTGATTTATTTATTATTTATTTATTTTTGAGACCAGGTCTCATTCTGTTGCCTTGGCTTAAGTGCTGTGTTCTGATCTTGGCTCACTATATCCTTCACCTCCCAGGCTCAAGAGATCCTCCCACTTCAGCCTCCCGAGTAGTTGGGACCGCAGGTGCATAACACCACACCATACTAATTTTAAAAAAAACATGTTAGTAGCGATGGGGATCTCCCTGTGTTGCGCAGACTGGTCTCAAACTCCTGGGCTCTAAAAAATTCTTCCGCCTCAGTCTTCCAAAGTGCTAGGATGGAGATATTTTGATATGAAAAGGAAATAGATTTTGGTCAGTCAACATGATATACTGGGATTGTTGGCCAAAGAGCTGTATCAAAGTGCTATAGAAAAGTAAAAGTTAAGTTTGGTCAGATCAGATATTGAGATAAATATTAAGTAAGTAGAGTTCAATAGAAATGGAAAACTAGGGTTAATCTTATTCATAAAATAGGGGGAACATGAGATACACTAAGGAATAGCCACAGTTCTTGGCCTTGACAACTGCCAAACTTTCTTACTTACATGGTTTATATTTTCTTATTTTGGTATAACTGCATTATTCCAACAGGCAGATCAAGCCTTTGGAAAAAGTGGGGTGAGAAAAATTGTGTTTGGCTTTTTAACCAAATTGAAACCTTATGCTTAGGTCTAAAAGATAGGATCATGATCTAAGATCATGTTCCTAGACCTGTGGGCGTGTTCTTCTCTATGTAGAGGTGCCTAAGAAAATTATGAGACATGGTGGGAGGATGTGACAGCATTAGTGACAGAAAGTTTCCAGTCCCAACCCTTAAGCCCATAGAGTTGCTATGTGTCCTAAAGTTTTTCCTTTAAAAATTTTTTTTTGAGCTATCTCAGTTTTTACTCATAATAAAGGATAACAAAGAATATATTGACTAACAATACATCACCTGCCCACAACTGCCTTCTCTCTAAATTCCTTTAGTCATCTGATCTTTTCCTTAATCAGCTCTTCTTAGTCATCTCAACTATTATTACTCATTTCAAGATTTATGCCTTCTGAACAGAAAAATTATGGGATATTTTAAGGAATGATTTTTATAGCCCTTCAATGGGTTATCACAACTCTAGTTTTAGTAGAATGGGCAGTTTTGCTGCTGCAGCATAAATAAATAACTTACCATTTAATATGTCGTTACTTCATCCTAATTGTTCAAACACTGTGCTTTGATTGAAAAGATTACTGTATCCTTACTGTTAAATAAGAATATAAACAATTCATATTATTCTGTTTTGTTCAGAATAAATTCCCATATGTATACTTTTAACTGAGGAATAAACATATATAGTGATGGATAAAAAGTAAGTCTGAAGTGTACAGCTCAATTGACACCCATGGTGTGTGTGTGTGAAGGGGAAGAGGGGATGCATTGGTGGGTGGGTAGTGGTTAGATGGATACACACACACATACACAGTATACACATATCACACATAGACAGATATCCATCATTATATCTGTGACAGTTATCCAAATTGTTGTAAAAAGCCATAATTTGATTTTTTCACGGCCACGTAAGATTCTATGGCATGAAGATAACAAAAAGTATTGCTCCAGTGTACTGTTAATGGAAATTTGGACTGCTATAAGCATTCATGCTCAAATCTTCATGTAAATGCATGCTTTCATTTCTCTTAAGTCTATGGCTTGGAATAGAATTCCTAGGTGATACAGCATTATATGTTTAGCTTTAGCAGATACTGACAAATAGTTTTATAATGTAATTGAAGTAATCTATATTCCCACCAGTGTAGAATTCCAGTTGCTGCAAATTCTTCCCAATGCTAAGTATCATGAATATTGTTTTATTTTCATCATTGTTGTATATTCTTCTTATGTATATTTCGTGTGCATTTCCATGATTTACAATATTGAATTCCAAAATCTATAATTGAAATTGTTTATTTCTATAATTTACTAGCTTCCTTAGGAAACATGGTACAATTATTTACAAAACGGGACTAAAGTTTTCCAACATTAAATTGGTGGGACTTAAGAACTAGGTTTAATTCTATCTGTGCTTACAACTAGTAGTGTGATCTCAGGCAATTCATTTTTCTTGTCTGGCTCTTGCACTCCTCATCTGTAAATTAAGGGTTTGGTTGTCAGGTTGATTATATTTCCAACATATATGACTTAATACATGTTTAGTTATCCACCTTAGTCTGAAATTCTGGTCAAAAGGGTCCCTGTCTCTGGTCACCGGGGAGCAAGACTCATGTAGACAAAATAAACAATTATTCTAGGTCATTTTAAATCTAGATTTATAATTTCTTTGGATTTGCCTAGATTTTTAATCCTATTTCTTAGTAGAAGTTGGAAGGGTCTACTGATCTGAGTTACTATTCATTTTTGCAGGATTGTTTCTTATCAGAATCCCCAAAAAACTCCTTCTGGGTCCTCTTGGCAGACAGACTTTGCTCCAGGGCTACCAGCTTTCTCTCATTTGTGCTGACACAGCTCTCCTGTCAGATCTAAATCTTAAAAAGGGCTATGCCCTTACCAAAATAAATGGCTTCCCATCTGCTTCAGGGAAATTCCATAGCTCAGAAGTGTGCACACCATGTAGTTAGAGTAGCAAAAATAATGTCTTTCTACATGTAGTTAGAGGAATTTTAATCAAATTACTGTAAGAATTTTCGCTCTTATTTGTGTTTGAACTAGAGCTACAAAAAAGAACATCATTTTCCCCCTTTTATCCAAACCCAAATAAAGGGTGACTGATGGCCTAAGCCGTTCCTATTTTTTCTGCTAAGATTTATTTAAATTTATTTAATTCTACATGAATATGATTCTGTTGGAGACCACACTTTCTAGTGTCAAAATTGCTGCCAAGTATAAAGTTAGCCCCTTGTAAAAGCTGCATTAACTCTTCAGAGCCATTAGATTTCTGGTTAGTGTAGTGAAGTCATTGTTTACATTGAAGTAATTTGCTGCATTTCAGAGAGAGATTGTGGCAACTAGACCTTGATTCACACAAAGATTGGCCTTCTTGACTTATATGATCTGCCATTAGCATTTAAAGGCTTATCAGCTTCTTAATCAGATAATAGTGTTACTTGGTAATGACATGCGATTAATAGTCAGTCACATTTTTTACTTTTAGTAAGATCATTATTTATCAAAGTATCATTGATTTATGAATTTAGCAACATTAAACTCCTTGGTAAGATACTATTATATTCCTGTGAATACAATAGTAAGAACACAGAAAAGTCATCTTTTCTTTGTCCTGGTGGGGCTTAGAGTCTTGCAGGTATCACTGTGGAAAAGAAATCTTAAATTTCAAATCTTAAACATCCAAGAACATGAATTAGATGGCTTAATGGAGTCATCTAAGTTTCACAAATTATTAGAGTTTCCAAAGGCCCTTTGACCTACAGACAGAAGAATTAGTTTCAGGCATCCTTTTTTCTTCTACAAATATTTTTGCTTCATTTGATTTATCTGAAATTGTTATATGCTGTGAGGAGCCAGGAGTGAAGGAAACAGATGTGCCTGTTGTCCTCTGGAGTTTCTGACCCATTGTTTTCTTAAATTCTGCTTGGAAAATTCCCTTAATGGCTAAGAGCCTGGGTCACTACTAAATTATTACCACAGTTTCAATCTTCATTTAAATGCTCATACTCATATGTATCCTCCTCCTTGGAAGCTTAGGACCTAGTTCTTTCTTTCCTTTAAAACTATAAATAGGGGCCGGGCGCGGTGGCTCACGCCTGTAATCCCAGCACTTTGGGAGGCCGAGGCGGGTGGATCATGAGGTCAGGAGATCGAGACCATCCTGGCTAACAAGGTGAAACCCCGTCTCTACTAAAAATACAAAAAATTAGCCGGGCGCGGTGGCGGGCGCCTGTAGTCCCAGCTACTCGGGAGGCTGAGGCAGGAGAATGGCGTGAACCCGGGAAGCGGAGCTTGCAGTGAGCCGAGATTGCGCCACTGCAGTCCGCAGTCCGGCCTGGGCGACAGAGCGAGACTCCGTCTCAAAAAAAAAAAAAAAAAAAAAAAAACAAAAAAAACTATAAATAGGGAATGTGTGTGTGTGTGTGTGTGTGTGTCTGTCTGTGTGTGTGTTGTATACTTGAGATTATTTGGTTTGTCAAGCATATATACAGTTTGGAGGGAAATGGAATGAGAGAATATTTCTCACATCTTTAAATATGCCCTAATAGACTTGCATATTAGGTATAACTTGCTCCCCTGTGTCTCGTGCATACCAGTATATGGTATGGTTTAGACTACTAGTGTTAAAGTTAAAAAACTACTTTGGGTATATACCCAAAGGATTATAAACTATTCTGCTATAAAGACACATGCACACGTATGTTTACTGCAGCACTATTCACAGTAGCAAAGACTTGGACCCAACCCAAATGCCCATCAATGTTAGACTAGATAAAGAAAATGTGGCACATATACACCATGGAATACAATGCAGCCATAAAAAAGGATGAGTTCGTGTTCTTTGCAGGGACATGGATGAAGCTGGAAACTATCATTCTCAGCAAACTAACACAGCAACAGAAAACCATACACTGCATGTTCTCACTCATAAGTGGAAGTTGAACAATGAGAACATATGGGCACAGGGAGGGGAACATCACACACCAGGGCCTGTCGGGGGATGGGGGCTAAGGGAGGGATAGCATTAGAAGAAATGCCTAATGTAGATGATGGCTTGATGGGTGTAGCAAACGACCATGGCACACCTATACTTATGTAACAAACCTGCACATTCTGAACATGTATTCCAGAACTTAAAGTATAATAAACAATAAATAAATAAATAAATATTGTTAAAACAGAAAAAAACTACTTTGGATTCTAGCTCTGCCATTCAATACTTTAGTGACTAATCAATTTATTCCTTGTCCCTGAACTTGAATGATCCTATCTGTAAAATGAAGAAAATAATTTCCATTGTACGCTTAATCAAAGTTTAAAAACAGGAAATTGGATTGCATGGGAGATTCAGGGCAACAATTTTAGTTATGTAGCAGGAACAACTTTCTATTTAATAAAAGAAGCTAGTACTACGGTTTCTTCTCATTATTGTGGACATTGACAACTGGTAGAAGAGGAAGAAAAAGTGCTGCCTGCTCACAACCAGTAAAACATGATAAAAGATCTGCCACCTTCTCTGTTCTTTGCCAATGATTGTTTGTTCAAAACATTCTTTGCTGTTTGCCAGGCATCAAATCATGCTTTCAGCATAAATACAGTATCTGGATGACTGGGCACAACTGCTCCAGAAATATACCTTCTTTCATAGAGGGAAGGCTTTCACAAAGTTCCCTCAACCATGCTTCACTTCACTATCGAATATTTTCTTTCCCTATAGGTCAGTTATCCCATTTCACTAATGAGGCATAGATAGGCTAAATAATATCATTCAGGCACAAATGATGATTAGATGGCAGAGCCGGAATTAGAACCCATTAGGTGCTTTACTTCCAGGTCTTTTCTCATGTCATTGAATAAGGCTTGTGTTCCATTTCAGCTCAGATTTCTTATTTACAGTAGATAATTTTTTGTTGTCTGGAATTTCAAAAATTAGCACTTTGACCCCTTAGAAACAGGTTTAAGTGATTGTAGCACTTTTGCCTCAGTGCATTTTTATTTTTACTTAATCAATTCATCAAGACATTCTATTGTTAGCAGGAGAAAGACAGAGACCAAAAACTTTCACAACAGCTCTAAATATTCAATTATTCATCAGAAGTGGAAGCAAAATAGACACAACCAGAATTATCATGATTTAACAAGTGAGCTACTCTAGATCGGAGCATGGAAAGAATATGCCTGTGCGGCAAAAGCAAAAAATATAGAATTTGATTCCATAATTCTGTATTTTTCCCATAAAAGTTTTATTTTCCACATGCATCTAGTTACAGACAGACTTGTCTACATCAATTAGAACTAAATTCAGCTGCATACAACAGAAAATCCAAAATAGTAGTGATTAAACACAACAAAATGTATTATTTCAAATACAAGAGAGTCAGAAGTAGGCAGTCCAGGTGTGTCAACTGGCACCATGGGATGGTCAGAAAATCTCCTTCTCTCCGTTTTTTCTGCTCCATCATCCTCAGTGTGTGGTTTTCATCCTTAATGTTGCCTCATGATCTGAATGGCTGTTAGCGCTCCAGTTCTCATGTCATTGTTCCTGGCAGCAAGAAGGAATGAGACAAGAAGGCTGGAAAAGTGTGCACTCCCTGTCCATATTCCTTTTGAAGGAGTCCTCCTGCACGTTCCACACAACAACTTCCGCTTATGTCACCAGAGCCAGATTTTATTATCATCGCCACTTTTAGTTGTGTGGATATTTGAGCTTCTACTTGTTTGTTTCTGTTTTCTTATGTTTCATTCTGTTCTGTTGTTCTACTTTTATGCTGGCCATGTTGCCTCTGAGACTATTATAAGCTTTCATATAGTAAGGAAAATGGCAGAATGGTTATTGAATAGACAGTTTGCAGCATCTGACTCAGTGTTTAAAGCATGCATGGAGTAAATATCTAGCATGATAATTATTTAGGGAATAACTATGAATGATATTCCAAATAATTCCCATAAAATATTAGTTCTTATAAAGGGATAGTCCTACATAATAACTGTAAGGAAGTCTTTAAATAGTTTTCCACATTATTATCTTAACAACAAAAGCGATGCATGATTATTATAACAAATAAACAATGTAGAAATATGAAGAAAAAAATTAATAATCCCTTTGCTTTCTACACCCTCTCTGTCTTGCAGAAAACTAAAGCTAGTAGTTTATGTGTATTTTTTTCTACCTCTTGCTATAATGATACAAATATATACATGTTACTGTTAGTAACCAAAATAGGTTTGTACCAATTATTCTGCAAGTTGATATTTTAACCTAATCTAAGTTCAATACATGTAGATATCCTCATTCTTTTTAATGGCTGCTTAAAATTCTAGAGTATAGATATGCCATAACTGTTTTACAAAGAAGACAACTTTTACTGATTAAGATTTCTAAAAGGGCAACAAAATCAGCTTGATGAAGTACTGAAAACAGCTAAAAAACAAACAGTCTAAATCGCTAAGACAAAGGTAGAGGTTTTAAGGTCGAGCACATTAAGTGAGTTCATGTGGCTAACTAAGGACACAGAGCATGCTCAGTGTGTGACTGCACCACATTCAGGACAGAGGGGAACTTTTTAGCATAGCTTCTTATGCCACAAAATTCCTAAAGATGCCATTTATGCCATCTGGCTTTGTTGTTCCTCTTAATCAGCATCTTTAGACATTTCTACTATTCATTTTTTTTTCCCTTTTCAAAACATCTCCCCAATCAAATCACCATCCAAGTTCTAAATTCTGAAAAAAAAAAAGTTTCAAAAAATTATTAAAAACTTGGGCCAGTCGTGGTGGCTCACGCCTGTAATCCCAGCACTTTGGAAGGCTGAGGTAGGCAGATCACGAGGTCAGGAGATCAAGACTATCCTGGCCAACCTGGTGAAACCCCTTCTCTATTAAAAATACAAAAATTAGCTGGGCATGGTGACACGTGACTGTAATCCCAGCTACTTGAGAGGATGAGGCAGAAGAATCGCTTGAACCAGTGAGTCGGAGGTTGCAGTGAGCTGAGATCATGCCACTGCACTCTAGCCTGGTGACAGAGTGAGATTCCATCTCAAAAATAAATAACAATAAATAAATAAATAAAAAGTATTAAAAACTTTGCCCTTAAAGCAGCTTTTCTAGTTATTAGTTCTACCTGTTGATCATATTGCTTGCCATTTTGAGTTTGAGAAGTCTTTTCATTTTGTCTTTCACATTCTTCCTGTTTTACACATTCTTTCTGTCTTTCATTTTCTCGTCTTTCTTCCGCCCTTTTGCCTTTTTCCTTTCCCTTTCATGAGCATCCATCCCACCTTCTTAAGCTTTTCAGATATTTACTTGTTTAAAGACAAACTAGCATATATTCTTTCATCTTGAATTTGCATAAATATTTACAATTTAAAATGGAAAGGAGCTGTGTTAACGTCTAAATCTCCAGGGTCCTATGATCCTCCTTTCAAAAATGTGAACCTCATGCCACGAAGTGCTTTCCTCCCCAGCCTTGTCCTAGCCAATACTTGAGGTCTGAATGTACATTATGGACATGATGAATAAGTAAAGTAAATAAAGAAGAAAAGGGAACTCTATGAAAGAGACTAAAGAAACATTTGCTCTAGAACACAAACATGGAGGTATTTTGGCTTGCAAGAAAGACAAATATATCCAAGAACGAACACAAAGCTGCTCAGTTCTCCCTGCTGATCCAAGCTTGAGGGTTCTCCTCTTTTGTGTTTTGTGGATTGTGACTAGGTAAATAGGAAAGTAGTGAAAATACTCACTGGGAATGTTTCATATACTTATGCATTCTTCAATCTCTCTGTTTCCTGATTTCCTCATTCTACAATGAAGTTAACTGAGGATACTCAGAATGTGAGGGGATGGTTCTGAGAGCATTTAATAGCATAACTACATGTTTTCTTTAGTCTCTTATACCCCTTTTACTAAGGATTATAATGTGCAGTTGCATAAAAATCAGTTGCAATAGTAATAAGAATATGAAATCTCACATATGGAAGGAAACCAAAGAGATGCAATGGCTTGTCCAAAATTACATTATTGTGGCTGAGCATGGTGGCTCATGCCTCTAATGCCAGTACTCTGGGAGTCTGAGGCAAGAGAAGTTCAAGGAGTTGAAGAACAGCCTGGGCAATAAAAGGAAACCCCCTATCTACAAATAATTTTTTTTTTAATTAGCAAGGCATGGTGGTGCATGCTTGTAGTCTCAGATACTCATAGGGTTGAGATGGGAGGATCACTTGAGCCCAGGAGGTTGAGGCTGCAGTAAGCCATGATGTCACTCCAGCCTGAGCGACCGACTGACTCTGTCTCAAAAAATAAATAAAATACAGTAACGTTATTGTTACAAAGCCAGAACCAAGTTCTGTCCACTGTGCATGTTCCTCTCACTTTCCTCTTGACAGCAGGCTGCTTCAGATGACAAAATAAACTGATAGATATAGCTGAATCTGTTATTTCTAAGAAAAAAAAATCAGTTAACCTTTCATAGAATGCTCATCATATACCAGGTACCAGTGTGCAAAATGTTTGATGCTTTCCTTTACCCCACAAATGTATGTCAAGGGATATTTATGTGTAACTCTTTGTAGGCACTGTCAGAGGGTCCCTGTTGTCATGGACTCACATCTGGATTTGTGTGTATTTGTGTGTGTGTGTTAGCAGATGGTGAAGGTGGGAAGTGAAAGAAAAAACAGTAAGCAAGAAAACATAATCATCAGAGATGGGATAAAGAAGAATGTAGAAGATGAAGAAAGAGAAGTATGTTATTATATATTAGCTAATTTAATCCTAATATCAAGTCCATGAGGTGGGTAATAAGATTATCCCTAATACATAGATAAATAAAGCAAGCCTCAGAGATTGGAAACTTCTTCAAGTTAATAATTACATTCTAGGTCACAAGGAGACAGCTTTAACCCCAGGTCTGCCTCACTCCAGAGTTGTGCTCTAGTCACTGCCTATTTGCCTCTAAATGAGAATGTCAGGAAAAAACAAAAAAGAAATATATATATATATATATATATATATTTACTTGAATTTTTCTTCAAAGCAGTGATTGTTAAATGAGAAAATGCAATGGGTAAATATTGCAGATTAAGTATCTGAACTGTTGAGCTGAGTTGCTTAATGAGGTTAAGGCTCATGGCATAGGAACTTGAGTTATTTCGTCTTGAGAATGGTGGAAAAGAGGCCAAATAAAAATGCATTATTGGATTCATCTGGTTTCTATTTTCAGGGATTAAAGAATCAGCTAATAGGCACACAATTCTTGAAGCCATACTGTTCAAAGCAAGGTCAGCAGCTAATAAAGACATCTACTATTTAATCATGGATCAGACCATTTGACTTTGCTTGTATCATTGATACCAGCCATTATTGGCTGAGAACCAGCAGAGTACTCAGTACAGCATGAAATAGGAGAGGTTTGGGGATCTGTTAATTGCATCTTGTCTCAACTCTAGGAGGTATACTACTCCAAAATCAGTTCCTTCCAATTATTCCAGGTTGCAGCTGGCATGGTGAACCCTGGGTTGTTTTTGTCCAATGAAAGGGTCTAATTTTATCACAGAATCACAGGACTGGCAAGACCTTGGGAGGTCAATGGAGCTTTCAGGCAAGGCTGCACTGAGTGAATATATCTAATCCTATTTTAAACTATCTCCAGAGGGGAGATTCCATGATTTCTCTTGAAAGCCAATGCCAGTATTAAGCAACCTTTTCTTTAGCCAGTCTAACATCCCTAGTGATTTATTTTGAATTCTTCTTTCACAGGGTTCATAATGTTAACTTATACTATCTCTATTTTTCCTCTTCATATTTTAAAGCATCATTGAAAATTGAAATAACTCAAATGTTTGGGTAGAGAGGTTAAATGATTTTTAATTGTTGCTCAGTAGGCTTAAATCAGCTTAAAATGCCCAAATCAAACACCCATTCTCTGGAAGCTTTAAGTATTGCAAATAAATAAAAATGACTTTGAAGGACTTGCCATCTGGCTCCCACTTCCCCCGGTTCACTATGTTCCAGGCACACCAGCCATTTCAAAATACTCAAACACACTGGGTTTATTGCCCTTGCTATTTGGTCCTGCCTCTAACAGTCTGTCCCAGAGCTTCCAGTGGAGAATTTTCCCTTCTTGGAGCCATCCTTGATCAACCCATTTAAAGGTTCCTCAGAACAATCATCAGATTTTTAAATTACCTTTTTTAGTCCCTAGTTGGCACATTTGTTGTTTCTTTCCTTCCCCATTAGAATGGGGAACTTCACCTATTTTTTTTTTCAACCATTGTAATCCAATCCCAGTTTCTAAAAAAGACACATGGTAAGCATTCCATGAAGATTTGCTAAATGAATGAATGAAAGGACATTTGAGTAGCAATAAAACAGTGCAAAATATTTATTATAGTCTCTTTTTCCTCACAGCCCCAGAGTGGTATGTAAAGAAAGGATGTACAGCTTGCTTACATGAACTCTAAGATCACACTTAGATCCCAGGAGCTTTAGATCCCAGATCTAGCATTTCCCAACTGTAAAAGCTTGGGCAAGTTACTTAAATTCTATCAGTTTTAGTTTAGTAACCTGTGAGATAATTATAATAAAACTAACCTTACTTTCTAGTAATTTGAAAAAATGGTTTATTTTACATAAGCGGGTTATTTTATATAGCATGTAAACTATTAATTTACTTTTTTAAACAATATTTATTGAGTATCTATTGTCAGACAGTGACCTCGGTCCTAATGATACAGCAGTGACTAATCAATAAATATCTTTACCATCAAGCTTACATTTTGGTGCATGTATGTACATGTTTCATAATTATTCCAATTATATATATATATATTTTTTTTTAATTTTTTATTTTGAGACAGAGTCTCTCACTATCGCCCGGGCTGGAGTGCAATGGCACGATCTCCGCTCACTGCAACCTCCGCTTCCCAAGTTCAAGTGATTCTCCTGCCTCAGCCTCCCGAGTGTCTGGGACTACAGGTACCCGCCACCACACCTGGCTAATTTTTCATATTTTTAGTACAGACAGGATTCCACTGTGTTAGCCAGGATGGTCTTGGACTCCTGACCTCGTGATCCACCCACCTCGGCCTCCCAAAGTGCTGGGATTACAGGTGTGAGTCACCAAGCCTGGCCCTAAGAATGTATTTCTGAAATTATCTATATGGGGATTAAGTCTAAACTTCGGTCAGGGTACTAACACAGGCTGTTTTCATTACTCCAATCAGCTCTTCATTCAAGAGTCAACATATATTTACTAAGTACCTATTATGTGCCTGAGCATATTTATAAGTTAACAATAGTGTGTTAGGAGGATTCTTAGAGAGATCTACCTATTGGAGCAAGGAGCCATTCTCTCCTACAAACAGATTGCTCATATTTGACACCTAGAGTGCATTAAGAGATATCTAAAGAGACACAAAAAGATATTTTTAAAATAGCAATCATGTGTATTTCAGAAAAACTATCAGCCAGAAAGTGAATATTTATTTGATCTCTTAGTAAAGAAAGCCTTTTCTTAAAAAAATAAGAGTGTTTCTTGATTTTAATCAAAGAGCCATGTGCATTAGTGAAAGTTAGGGCTAGAATTCAGCCCTTAAATTTTTTGGAAAAAGTATTTTTTCACCAGTAATCCATTCTCTGTTAAAAATGTTTTCAAAAAGAGATAAGCAGCCAAGCACGAACTTCTACTCATATATGAATAGATTGAGGTAAACATGTATTTACAACACATATGTTTTTAAAACATAGGTGAGCTTCTATTTCAAAAGCATTCCTTTTTATCAATATGCAGTGACTAAATTGTGTCAATAGAAATATATATTCAGCTTTCTCATCCTTGTGACTGCATAAGATCTGTGTATGAATGTATCATGATATATTTAATCACACCTCAGTGGATGGACATTTAAGTTGCTTCTGAATGTTTTGCTATTCTAAACAATAATGACATAAACCATACCTGACAAAATGTCTTTGTGTAGTTGTTTGCTTACCTTCCCATATAAAGAAGTAGTTTTTTTGTTTTTTTGTTTTTTTTTTTTGAGACAGAGTCTCACTTTGTCGCCCAGGCTGGGGTGCAGTGGTGTGATCTCGGCTCACCACAACCTCCGCCTTCCGGGTTCAAGCAATTCCCCTGCCTCAGCCTCCTGAGTAGCTGGGACTACAGGCACATGCCACCATTCCCAGTTAATTTTTGTATTTTTAGTAGAGACGGGGTTTCACCATGTTGGCTAGGATGATCTCTATCTCCTGACCTTGTGATCCACCCGCCTTGGCCTCCCAAAGTGCTGGGATTACAGGCATGAGCCACCACACCTGGCCTTGAGAAATAATCTGTATACCGAAAAGAAAGTATTTTAAAATCAATGGATTTGATTATATGAAACCTAGTTTGTAATACATGTAATAATAAACCAAATAGAACAGAAAGTGTAAAGTTTGGGAAATATTTGCAAGACATACTTAGTCACGATTGATCAAGCCAGCCTGGCAGTGTTTGACTTCCGTACTTACTAGCTCTGTGACCTGAGGAAAGTTATGTACTCTGTCTGTGCTTCAGTTTCCTCACCTGTAAAAATGGGGATAATGATAGTACCTACCTGCAAGGGTAATTATGAGGAATAAATATAAGGTGGCCTGAACTGTACTTGACATCTAGGAATGGGTATATAAAAGTTTGTTAATAAACATATCAACAAAAGGTAACTTCCTAAATATATCAAGAGTTTAAAGGTCAGTAGGATTAACACTAGTACCTGAGCAAAAAACAAACTAAGCGGTATAACAAAATAGTCAAACAAGAAACAATACAAATAGCTAATTTATAAATTAAAGATATTTGATATGTCTAAAATTTTTTTAAAAATATGAAAGTTAAATCCATAAAATACATTTTGTCCTATCTAATTAACAAATATCAAATACAGTGAAAATAACCAATACTAAGATCCACTACACTGGGATAGCAATGTGAATATGATGAACACACTTTGAAAATAATTTGAACAAATGTATTAAAAGCCTCAAATAAGGGTTCACCCTTTGAATGTGTAATTCTATTTCTGACAATATATCTCAGGATATAATCGAAAATGTGTGCAAAGCCTATACCACAAAGATTTTTATCGACATATCATGATATATGTAATATGGAGCAAATATTTTACATATCATGATATATGTAATATGGAGCAAAAACAGCAAAGTGGTTAATAGACTGATATTGAGAATGAGGTAAAGCCTGTGTTCAAATTCTGACTCCACTATGAAACACGTTTAACTTTTTTTTTTCCTTTTAGTTTTTTTTTTTTTTTTTTTTGCAGGGGCAGACGGTCTTTGCCCTGTTGCCGAGGTTGGACTGCACTGGCGCAATCTTGGCTCACTGCAACCTTCACCTCTGGGCTTAAGCGATTCTCCGGCCTCAGCCTCCCAAGTAGCTGGGATTACAGGTGCATGCAACCATGCCCTGCTAATTTTTGTGTTAACAGTAGAGATGGGTTTTCACCATGTTGGCCAGGCTGGTCTCAAACTCCTGACCTCAAGTGATCCGCCCACCTCGGCCTCGCAAAGTGCTGGGATTGCAGGTGTGAGCCACCGCGCCTGGCCTGTTTAACTTCTGTTAAACTCTTTCACTTGAAATTAAATGTAGTAACTAGCCTAACAAATTAGTTGTAAAAAGTACACAATGTCTAGCACAGAACAAACTCTCTCTGGAAATGACTGCAATTACTATTATTAATAATAGCCCCACATTTTAGATAACAGAAATGGTTGTAGACATATACATTACCGTATTTAAAAAAATTTTAAGGCATAAATAAAGGATGTCATGAACATTCTAATGGATATAATGTTTAATTGGAAAATGAGTTTTGAAAGCAAATATATTGTATAAACTTAACTATGTAAAAGTTTACATATAGGAGGGAAATAACTTCAAATGTAGTTATTTCTATATGATAGAATGAAAATTTTATTTTTCTTGTCTCTATATAAATATATACACATTTCTGTAATTTCTAAATGTTATGCAGTTTTATATTTGGCACTCTTACATACAAAAAACAAGTATTTGTACAAATAAAACAAATCCCTAGGCAACTTTTTTTTACAGTTACAATGATATACAAATAAGAATATAATAAATATTATTTATTTGGGTAAGAATCTGGTTTTTCCTCTTATTCTAACATCCTCCTATCATGAAATATTTATTATGTGTTCCCAGGCACTTAGCACTTGCTAGAGGCGAGCCTGAATAAGTCCCTATCCTCAAGGTGTTGACAACAAGAGATCATCTCACCAATAACATCCATGAAGGTATAAGAGATGTACACGTTTGTGATGACTCAAGAATAAATTCAAAATGACAGTAAATATTTCAGAGTGGATCATTATGCCCATTATTATACATTGATGAAATTCATTAAAAGTTTAACATTTAAAAGTAACAGAGGGAAGCTAACATTTTCTCCAAGAAAATACAATACCCAAACTTTTCAGTTACTATAAAGTTTTACTTACATAGTTCAGAAGTCTACATATTAGGTAGAGTAAGGAATTTTACTAATTGTCAGTGAATAAAAAATGAGAAATTAATATTTTCCACAAAATGAGAAAGATCATCACCTCCATCTGTGTTACCTGAAAACCTTCTTTCTTCACATGGTTTTACTTGTGAAGTCAGCTGGAGCGTGCTAAGCAATGCCTAAACTAGTTGATTATTTAAAGTCTTGCTAGTTATTGGCCAACATCATCCCAGAGTATCAGTTACAGGATGAAATTTAATATAACACGAAATTTTACCATCCTCAAAAGAAGTTTTAAGAAGCCAAGCGAAAGGGAAGATCTGAATTGCATTCTGAAACAAAGTTGTATGCTCCATCACTCCCTGTAGTCTTGGTGAGGGCAGGGTCATGTTGCTTTTGTTTCATGCTCTATTCTCTGTGTGCCCAGCACATAGTGGACTTCACTTCAGAAAGTGCTAAAAAAAAGGCATGAGAAAATTGCATTATAATGAGACTTTAAATTATACATTAACAATACTAGTAATATTAACTTCCCAATTAAAATATGAATAACTATGAAAGTATATAAATGCATTAGAGGCCTAACATTTCCTACCACATTCAGGATCTGATAAAGAGGATTCTGGAGTCTTCATTTTGTCACTCCTCATCACTGTGCGTGTAGGACATATAATGTGTGTGTAGGACATACACAGTCCTATAATCCTATAGGGTGAGAGAAGGGAGTTACTCTTTGGATGTGAGGAATCAGGGCAATAGTTGTTTGTCACAATATAGATAATAGATAAATAAATAAATAATGTTTAATTGAAAAATGAGTTTTGAAAGCAAATATAATTCATAAACTTAACTATGTAAAATTTTACATATAGGAGGGAAATAACATCAAATATCAGATAAATATTTATGGAAGTAGGGTTTTGGCATTTAACATTCTTTCAAATTCAGTATTTCAAATACATAATACGTGTTCTTTATAGAAAATTGGAAAGTGTGAAAATTAGATAAATGAGAACCTACTCCATTCTCCAGTACCCATGGGCAGCTACTTGGACAATTTGATGAATTCCTTCTCCATTTTTAAGCATTCCCCAAGCACAGAAACATAAACACACATAACCATGCTTAACTATACTATTCTTCATATTAAAGAGATCTCAGGAAAACATCTGCCACTTTGTGATTCAGTTTCTTCCTTTATAAATTCCTTACGTCATATTCAGAAGAGGTTGAAACATTTATATTAATTTTCTGTTTTTTTTACCTCCCCTAACAGACGCACAAGCTATGCTTCTCATTTGATTAACAGCTAGAAGTTATACGTAATCCCCAAAATAGAAGTAATCATGATGTACAACGTTTTATAGCAGTTCTCCCTCATTCTAGATAAGGGTTGTCTATTTTCTTTAAAACGGGGAAAATAATAACGCCAAAGTTTTATTATGAGACTTAAATAAATTGATACATGTGAAGGAATTAGAGCCATGATAAGCATATAGTGTGAATTCAGCAAATATTAGCTATTATTATTGTTGTTATTGTCCTTCACATGGACTCTGTGATTATTTTAGAAAAGACTAACGCAAAGAAGGAAGGAAAAATGAGGGCCACCTCAATAGCAACCAAAAGAAACATAGCAAAGCCAAAGAGCTGTGCTTCTTCCACTGTATTTTTATTGGAGTATAAGGGACAAATGATTACATACCGGCATCAAGAAACAAGCCCTAATTGTGAGTATGCATGGAAGGATTGGGCTGTAAGACTACACAGTATTTTAAAATATTATGTAAATGCAACAAAACAAATTATCATAATAAATATTGTAAAACCTCTCAAGATAATTCTCTCTCATGTTCATTGTGTAACCGAAGTTAATATTTGCTATTCAACTGAAGAGTAAAATAAATAACTTCATGGAATTTATAGTATCTTAATTAATCTAATTTCATCCATAAAATATATGAGTCAACTTGGCAAGGATCAAATGCAGTTTTATTTATCAATTTAAAATTTTAAAATCCAGTTGACTATTTTTAAATTGTATAAGAGTAAAAAGAACAAAAAAAGAATTATTGCTTTCAAAGGCATCCTTTCTGCTTTTCCTACTCAAAAATGGCTCTGATTAAAATTTTTAGCTTTGGCAAGCAGCTATCCAAAAATATGATCAAATGATAAATAGATGAGAGATTCATGACTAAAACTCAGCTTACTGCTGTGCTTTCTAAGTAATATTTTTCAACCAAATTTGAGTAATTATTTTTACAATGAAGACTGATGTGACTAATATTTGAGTAGTCTATTAAAAACACAAAGTGAGGGAAATGCTCATATTATAAGGATCCAGTAGACAAAGAAAAATTTACAATTAAATTTCTTGAAATTTATTCTATTTAACATAATGTCATAGGTTGGGTTTCCCAGGAAGCAGAATCAAAGGCAGAGGTGGAGGATATTGATTAAGGAGAACTCTTGAGATCAATAGCTGTGAAAGGGAAGGAAAGAAGCAGAGAGAAGTTGAACTGCATCATAGACCCAAGGTCAGCCTTCTCAATGGGAGCTCTGGAGCTGAAATGGCCCTTCAGTGTTCCCTCATGTGGGCAAAAATGGCCAAGTCTTTATACACAAGCCCTCATCAGTCATGGATGTTGGCTTTCCATGACTGACCTTGGATGAGGTGACTCTGCCTAGCTGAGGCAATTTCTAGAAGGGGCTGATGGCTAAAGGTTACCTGTCAATAGCATACCCAGTATCTGGACAAGAGTACTTCTCTGGAAGATGACCTGGGTAAAACTTCATGATCTGGGCAAAATGTCCACCACATACTCTATCATGTTTATGCAGACAAGTAGCACAATTTCAGAGGAAACCTTCAAAGAAAGAAAGTTTTATGACCTTTTCCCCCCACTCCTCTCTCCTACTTGATTTCATCAAATTACTTCATAATCGTGCTGGATACCAAATTTCCGCATCACCTCTTACAGGAAGCCTTCACCACATAACCTGACTTGGGCACACTACTATTTTTACTTATTTATTTCTTTATAATTTTTGTGGGTACATAGTAGATATATATATTTATGGAGTACATGAGATGTTTTCATACAGGAATGCAGTGTGAAATTAACACATCATGGAGGTATGAGGTATCCATCCCCTCAGGCATTTATCCTTTGATTTACAAACAATCCAATTACACTCTTTAAATTATTTTAAAATGTACAATTAAGTTATTATTGACTAAAATTTTGCTTTAGAATTATCTTTCAATGTATCAGTTTTCCTCATAGGCGAACTCCTTTAAAGTAGGGATTGTGCCTTGATCATCTTTATATTCTATTGTCTACCACATAGTCTGCATTATAATGGTCACTCACTTAAATATCTAGTGATGAGTGAATGAGTTTTCTTATATCTGTTAGCCCCTTCATCTTAATCCCTCCTAATCATTCCTATATAACAGAATTAATACCCATTCCCATATAGAAGAGTTAATTCTTCTTCTCACAATTTATAAACTCGGTTTTTTGCTTTTGTTTTGTTGTTGTTTTTGTTTTTTTAAAGACTGCCTTGATTGTCAGTGTATCACTAGGGCCTGGCTTAAACAATAGTCATTAAACAGATGAATATTGACTTAATAGCTCTGGATGGGACAATAAATGTAGTCTGTATACACAGAACTACATGATTTGAAGATTCATCATACTACTAAAGGCTTCAATAAATCTCAGAAAAATTGACATTGCAATTTTAATATTAAGTATTAAAATAAAGCATTGTACTACTTTAGAACATTTGTCATGAATTATACCAATTCAATACTTTTATTGATTTATCTGTAGAAATGTCTGCATTCCTATTTCATCATCACAGACAAAGCCTACACCCATATAGACAACGGACATTTTTGGATAGCCTGATAGTTGTATGGTTTAAATGCAATATATCACTCTATCTTAATAATTGTGTGAAGTGTGTATTATTTTCATCTCCATTTTGTAAACGAAAAATCAGGCTTCAATGATTTTAGAAAGTTATCCATGCCTACATCTAATGAGTGGCAAAACTGGGATTCAAACTGATTTATCAGATTTCAGAGAATACATTTTTAGTACCATAGCCAGCTACCAGTGCTTTAGAAATATACAGATATTTAGACTTGTTTATTACATTTATATGCACATTTTTTATCCTCAGATTTTTACATAAATTATGGCTTAAAAATTTAATTAAAAACCTGATAAATATATGTTGTGAGAAAGACAACTTGCACATTGCATTTTCCAAAGACAGCTGAAACTCCTATACCATATCTTACAGGCTCCTCTGCAATATGACCTTGCCACTCCCTGATCAAGTTGTGGAGTCTCTCTCTTGAACCTGTGCTGGCCTTAGTGGCTCTCCTGAAATCAATAAAATGAGGCTGGAAGGATGACATATGAATTTTGAGGCCAGGTCAGAAGGAGCCTTGCAGCTTCTTCCTTGGTCTCATAGACAGATCACCCTCTGGATATTTCCTTTCCAGCTACTCTCTTTTAGATCTCATATATCATTTTTAATTTTAATTTTATAGATTCAGGAGGTACATGTGCAGGTTTGTCACATGGATATATTGCATGATGGTGAGGCTTGGGCTTCTAGTGTACCCATCACCTAAATAGTAAACATTATACCCAGTAGGTAATTTTTCAACCCTCACCTCTCTCCCACACTCCCCGCTTTTGAAATACTCAGTGTCTATTATTCCACCCTCTATGTCCATGTATATCCACTGTTTAGCTCTCACTTATAGGTGAGAACATGTGATATTTGACTTTCTATTTCTGAGTTATTTCACTTAAGGCAATGGCCTTCAGTTTCAATCATGTTGTTGCAAAAGACATGATTTTATTCTTTTTATGGCTGCAGAGTATTCCATGGGGTTTATATACTACATTTTCTTCATCCAGTCATTTGTTGATGGACACTTATATGATTCCATGACTTTGCTATTGCAGATACTGCTGTCATAAACATACAAGTGCAGGTGTCTTTTTGATATAATGATTTCCTTTGGGTAGATACACGGTAGTGAAATTGCTGGGTGGAATGGTAGTTCAATTTTTAGTTATTTGAGAAATCTCCATATTTTTTTCTGTAAGGGTTGTACTAATTTACATTCCCACCAACGGTGTATAAGCATTCCCTTTTCTACACATCCTCACCGATATCTGTGGCTTTTTAACTTTTTAATAACAGCCATTCTGACTGGTGTGTGATGGCATCTCATTGTGGTTTTGATTTTCATTTCTCTGATGATTAGTGATATTGGGCATTTTTTCATGTTTGTTGGCCACCTGTATGTCTTCTGAGAAGTGTCTGTCCATTTCCTTTGTCCACTTCTAAATGGGATTGTTTTTTTCTTCTTGAGTTGTTTTGAGTTGCTTCTGGATTCCGGATGTTAGTTCTGTGTCAGACACATAGTTTGCAAATATTTTTTCCCATTTTGTAAGTTGTTTGTTTACTCTGTTTATTATTATTATTATTTTTTCTTGCTGTGCAGAAGCTCTTTAATTAAGACCCATTTGTCTATTTTTCTTTTTGTTGCATTTGCTTTTGAGGTCTTGGTCATAAAATCTTTGCTTATGCCAGAGTCTGGAAGAGTTTTTCCTATAAGATTTTTATAGTTTCAGGTCTTGCATATAAGTCTTTATTAATCTTGAGTTAATTTTATATATGGTAAAGGATAGGGGTCCAGTTTCATTTTTCTGCATATGGCTATTTAATTGTTTCAGTACCATTTACTGAATAGAGTGTCCTTTTTCCACTTCATATTTTTGTTGACTTTTTGAAAATCAGTTGGTTGTAGGTAGCCACACTTCATTTTTTGAAAGGCTCAAACTACATGGAGAGGTCACAAGCTGCACTCCATTGACAGTCAAAGCTGAGTTCAGATTTGGAGGTATTCCAACCAGGCAACATTTATGTGAATGAACGAGCTTCTAGCTCATTCCACACCCCAGCAACACTGGTAATCTCCATCATTTGAGTTTCCTCAATTAATGCTGCAGACATAGAGCATGATAATAGAATAAGCCATATCCACTCTGCCTTGTTCTGACCCATGGATTGTTTGAGCATAATAAAATGGCTCTTGTTTTATTGTAGTGAAATTTGGGTGATTTTATTTTATTTTTTTACAGAGCAGATATCAGACATCTTAGAACTAGGAGGTTTACCCTCTATTATTCAAGCCTTAGTGAACTACTTGATTCTACCTGCCTAAGAACAAATGGTAAAAAGTACAAGTTCTGAAATATTCCACAAAATACTATTTTTAATGCGTATTTACTATCACACAAGTCTGATTCGTGAATACATAAATTCCAAAATTGTTTAAATTAATAATGGAAGATGAGACATAATGATTAAGTAAGTCAAATTACTGTATCAGATGTTGATAGAGTTGAATAATCTCTCCATTTCCCACTTCAACTCCTCAGAATGGGAGATTTAACAACTTTAGGATATTTGTCATTCTTGATAACTACCTACCCAGCTAGTGCCTTTTACTGCTTTGTAGATATGGCAGTGCAGACACAAAATCTATGAAACTTTATTCAAATCAGATTTATGACAATGTAAATAGTAGTACTCGACTTAACTGCTACTGTTTAAATAAAATCTAAATAATATATGATGAGCACAAACAGGCTTTCTAGTCAATTAACTGTTACTAGAAAGAGGAAAATTCTTCTCATCATTATTTCTCTATTTGCTCTATCATTTTTTCCTATCATAAAGATGGTCTCTAAGTAAATCTAGTCATAGACAATGTAGCCAAGTAGATAAAAGTTATAGGTTACAATCTCTAGCTTCTAATGTCTTTCTTATGGGTGAAATATCAATAGATTTTGTTCCTGTTTTTATTCAAATTGATGTGGTAGAGTAAATGTATTGAGTGCTGAGGAAAAGGGAAGCTAAAATTCCTAGGACTAATTTTTGACAATCCAAACCTTCATATATACCACTCTCTGAAATATGTTTGTCCACAATTGTTTTCAGTGTTATCAACATTTAAGGATTGTGATTTTTTTTTGTCTACATTTGATGAATACTTGGATTTTGGCTTTCATTCCACACCCAGAATGTATTATATACATGTGTGTGAATGCATATATATGAATAATTGTGCAAACCATATCTTACAGTAGGTAATTCATCTATCTTTATTTTTAGAATTTTACAAAACATATTGCAATAAATATTAAAAATCAGAACTGAAAATATCACAAACCTATTAAGATTAAGGTTTATTTGTATTATTCTTTATAAAGTGAATGAAGCATTTGTTAATGTCAACATTTTTGTTATTTAATTGCCTAGCTCAGTGCAAAAGGACAGCTTTAAATATATATTTCTTCAAATGGTGAACTAATCATCATTTAAATGGCATTTGCCTTTGCTTAACATGGCTTCCTGGTTCTCAGATAAGGCTAAAATGAAAATGAAATTCTTGATCCATCCACTGCTATTTTTTTTTTGGTGCAAAAAAGTCATATTAATAAGAACCTTAAACTGATAGGAAATATGTCCAGCCCTGGATGTAGTTAACAATCTAATTAAAAGGACAATTTGGCAATTGATATGCTATCAGAAAAGAGAAAGTGAGAGAGAAAGAGAGAGACAGAGAGAGAGAGAAAGAAAAGGCAGGAGAAAACCCAGGGCCTGGCAACAAATTTGTCTCTTAAATGCTCACTTTCAAGTGTGTCTGGTTTCTAGTGCAGTTTGTTTCAGAAGGGATCAATTTTTTCCCCTTTTCCCTATTCTACTTTTGCACTGGTATTGTCTGAATCCCAGAGTGAGCAGCAATACATCATCTTGCTTCAACATCTGCTAGAGCCCCCTCTCCTCCTAATCTGCCCAGATCCCCAAAGCCTTTTCCACCTGCTATAGCGCCAAATGCTCATTACAGCATACAGCTATGCCCTTCATTGTCCTTTCTCCCAGATCCTCAAGGTTAACATGGAACAATGACTATTATTAAGTGGGGGCTTCAGGAATATAAAAGCAGACTGGGCAAGGAGAGAGAGGGTGGGGCAGTGGAAGCATTGGGTAGCATGCCAGGAGAGCTGGCAGGAAAGAGCTGCTAGAAAGCTGTGGCCAATTTTCCAGTCGAAACATGAGTCACTGAATAGAGATGCCCTAGACATAAATAGCTTCCCTGTTCATTGCCCAGGACAAGCAGAGACCACACCCTTCAGTGGTTTTGTGTCAGGGTACTTTTGGATATGGCTTTGAGCAACTAGCGCAGGAAGAGAGATAAAAATGGCCAATTTGAGAAGGCTGGCAAGTCTAGAAGTTGTGTTTACTCCTTGGCCAACTGTAAATTGTAACCAATTGGAAGTTGTTCTACGTCTTTTTTTAATACAAATCACCAACCTGTTCCTTCTATTTGCATCATCACACCAACCACCAATGGAAAATCTGAGACACATTAGCTTAGACTGCTTAGAAAACAATGAAATTCAGAATCTCTCTGACTGTATTCATTTAGATTATCATAGAATCTGAATTATTTTTAAAGGAATCTAATGGTTGGGGGAGGCAGCTTTACTTTAGATTTCCTGTCTTTGGCAGCTGTGTACCTCACTCCCAGATGCCATACTTGGTGCAATTTCCTTTTAGTTTTGTAGGAGATATTTTAAGAAGTTAAACACTGTTTCCTCAGTGACATTCATAGGGATGATCTAGATAAACCACATGAATGTCAGCTGGCCTCTAGCAGAATTGGCCAGCTCTGTCCTGGACATCCTTTCCTGTTAACGCACCCTTGGACAATGTCTCCAGCAGGATCAAGTCGCTCCCTGTTGCTCTTCCTCTCCTGGAAGTAGTATAAAACCACGGGTTCCCTCTAAGGCCACCTAGTAAAATTTTACTTGCTTCCACCACCCAGAACCCCAAGGAAGTGTGTTAACCATCCCATAGCCACAAAATGTGCTGATCTAAATAAAACACAGGCCATCCAGCTCAGTGTTCTAGCCAACACACTGGAGGGGCTGAACAAGATCTCATTAATAAAATCAGTTAGGTGTAAAACAACCTGGGCTAGATAAAGTCAGAGTTTGTTTACTTACTCCACTAATGACAACACACCTAAACTGTCAGACTTAACACTAGGAAGAGTGTTATAGTTCCCTTTTCTATTTTAAAATCCAAGTTTGAAAGTCACAACTAAACTTAGATAGACAATTTTTTAATTGCAATTAGGAAATAAGAGAGACACATTGAAAAATAAAAGTTTTTCCTTTCACTTGGATTGATCAAGATACTAGATCTTCGTTGCGGGTTTGTGTGAAGATAGAAAAGTAACTAGAGTTTAGCTAAATGGTGAACATTTCAGGAACATATTCTTAAAAGTTTAAAATTTAAACCTTGTCCTAGACATTTCATATACATTTGCCTCCGTTTTAAGATTGAGAAGTAGTAAGTAAATGCTAATAAAAAGTATTTTATGTGGGTGTAGCTTTATATATAAGTAAAAAATAAGGAGAAAATAGTTTTTACTGAGGTAAATCTTATGGAGCATATGAATGCTTTAAAGTATAGTCCTAGCTCTTTCATAGGCTTGCATTGGAATTGCTATTTCACTGTAATATTGGGAAAGTTTCATTTTACCTCCCTGGGCTTTATTTTTACCTTATAGAATGAGGGTAGAAATGGTATTTCACCTTCCTCAGAAGGTTATTTGAGGATAAATGAAAAAGCTTTGGAAAGTGAAGGTGCCTAGAATGTAGTAAGAGGTCAATCCATTTCAATTGGTATTGTTGCTAATCTATTCTACTTGATGACGTTTGCAAGACATTTTATGATTCCAAAGGACTCTATTTCTTTTATCCTTCATTCCTTTCTTTCTCTGTTTTATGATTTTTATTACTTTTTTTTATTAGTTCACAAGCCTAAATTCTATTTTAATCACTTATTACTTATTTCTATTCAAACCTTTTGAAGAGTAGGATTCTGTTTTAATTCTTTCACAAGTTTCACGATCTTGAATGAGATGATAATAAGATGGTACAACTATAAATACCACAAATTAGGGGAAAAAAAGTATCAATGACTGAGTCTTAGTCAGTTTGGTCTGCCATAACAAAATATCATAGACTGACTGGCTTGAATGACAGAAACTTAATTTCTCACAGTTCTGAATGCTGAAAGTTCAGGAACAGGGTGACAGCATAGTCAGGTTCTGGTGAACACTCACTTCTTGGCTTGCAGTTGGCCAGTTTTTTGCTGCATCCCCTCATGGCAGAAGGAGAGTTAGTTGTCTGATGTCTTTTCTTATAAGGGCACTAATCCACTATGAGGACTCAACCCTTATGACCTCATCTGCACCTAGTTACCTTACAATGGCCCCAACTGGAAATATAATCATATTGGGGGTAAGAACTTCAACATATACATTTTGGCAGGATACAGTTCAGTCTATATCAGACTGTTGTCTCAAAATCTGTGACCTAATATCATCAGCTTAATGGCAAGGTTTTCAGTAGAACCAATAAACCTTGATGACCAAGATTTCAAGTTGTCAGACATTTTGACATTACAACTGCAACTTTGGGGATGATTAGCTCTCTATATTATTATTATTATTATTACTATTTTGAGATGCAGTTTCACTCTTGTCACCCAGGCTGGAGTGCAATGGCATGATCTCAGCTCACTGCAACCTCCGCCTCCTGGGTTCAAGTGATTCTCCTTCCTCAGCCTCCCAAGTAGCTGGGATTACAGGCACCCACAATTATGTATAGCTAATTTTTGTATTTTTAGTAGAGACGGGGGTTTTACCATTTTGGTGAGACTGGTCTTGAACTCCTGACCTCAGGTGATCCACCGGCATCAGTCTCCCAAAGTGCTGGAATTACAGGCGTGAGCCACTGCACCAGGCCCTCTACACATTATTTTAACCAAATTCTTCTTTATTCCTAAAAAGTTCTTCCACATAACCTCTTCAATCAACTTTTATGCATGATTACAAATTCCACACAAATTTTGACCCTGTCTCCCCACTGTTTGCTTTCTTTCTTTCTTTCATTCTTTCTTTTTTTCTCTCTCTCTTTTTCGCCACTTTTGTCCTATCCACCCATTGCCTCATTCCCTACCTAGTATTTACCTTGTCCTACTCAGCCTTAATCAGGACAGTCCCTACATCTCCCTGCAACATCTGAAAATCTTGCCTTTGAGTCAAACATCTTATAATATTTCTTCTCTGGTTGCTTCCTCTCATTACTATCTGCATGAATCTCACCAAAGCATATGGGATTTCTTGACCACTTCTCTTTTCCTCCTTCCAGAAAAGTCAATTTTCCTGACACTTTCTCTCTAGATTCTCTTCCAATGTCTCTCCCTTTGCTTTCTCTATTTCTCTTGCTTCTATTACAAACCTAAATCTAGGCATTCCTCTAAGGCTCTTTCCTTTATCTTCCCTATTCTCACTGCATTTCCTGATACCATCCACTTCCGAAAGTCTTACTTTCACCTCTATGAAGATAACAACCAACTAATTCTTCATTCTAACTTCACAGTTCAGATCATAATCAAGATCTCAAGCCTGGGAGAAGGTCAGGGCTGGGAGAGGAAGGCATGAAGAGGTTTTTAATTGGTGACAGAAAGAATATTTCAATGATAAATATAATTATCTTTGATATCATTCTCTAGTTGATTTATTACCTGGCCTTTCATTTCATTTAACACTTTCGTTTTATACTACTTCTTCCGGTATAAAAAAAGCTCAGGCTTCTCCTACTCTACCATATCACAGTCACACTGCTGTAGCTGAGTTCCTTTTCCAGTGTCATTTGGATGGCTCTAAATAATGTGCATAAAGTTGTTTTCACCATATTTGTCTTCTTTTCTTACCATCCCCATGTGTGTTTTATGTTAGTAGTTTTATCACTCTTCTAGCAGTCCAGTCTCAAATCCCTTTTGTGTCCGTACATTCCCCCCATGGACATATATTTAATAGTCTTCATAATCTCTGAATTTTTTTCTGGAATTTCTCATGCACCTAATGGCTCCATTTCCTTTCTATTGGCATTCTTTTATTCAGACTTTCATTTTGGTTTATCCACATTATTGTATTCTCTCCCTACATGATTCTCTCTTGACTGCTCATTTCTGTCTCCCAGTTCATTATTGCAAGCCACTCATTTTCTTCTATCTTCATTCACCTTAATGAGTTCTTACTGCCTATAAAACAAAACCTAAGGCTTTCAAGGCCCGCTACAAATCAGGAAGTGCCTAACTTTTGTGATACACAACCTGCAAGTTCTCTCCAAATACCCTGCACTTTTCCCGCCAAATCCTACTTATCATTTTCCTTTTTTAGAGATGTGGTCTCACTGTGTTGCCCAGGTTGGTCTCAAACTCCTGGCCTCAAGCCAACCTTGTGCTTCAGCCTCCCAAAGCACTTGGATTACAGACATGAGCCACTGTGTCTGGTCTGCTTATCATTCTTGAATGAACTTGGTTAATAACACAGTGGTGATGCCACTGCCTTCACATGGTCAAGAGGTTTCCCCACTTTTTCCATATGTTGAAATAGTCATTCCTTTAAAGAGCAACACAGATGTCAACCTCACCTGAAGTCTTCCCTGTTTCTTCCTGCCAAAACTTTCAGTTCAGACACACACACACACACACACACATTTTTAAATTTAAATGTCTTACCACCTTCTACTATAGTTACTGTTACCCCTTCCTTATCTCTTCCAATAGATTAGGAATAACTTTGTGTCTAGAACCATATCTTATCTATACCTTCCTCCTTCTCTACCACTATTGTCTAGATCAATACATACTTGTTCAAGTAATGTAGGTTAAATTTTGATAAATATCTATCTTTGGAATAAAAATCATTAACTTACTACTATGAAAAAATCTATACTTTTACTATTATGTGTGATTTCTTAAGAGAGTACTTAAAATAATTATAATACTGTTAATGATTAGAGGAAGCTGCCTTTGGTTTTCTTTTCTCTTTTTTTTCTTTGTTTTTGAGAGAGAGTCTTGCTCTGTCACCTAGGCTGGAGTGCAGTGGCATGATATCTGCTCACTACAACCTCTGCCTCCCAGGTTCAAGTGATTTTCTTGCCTCAGACTCCCCAGCAGCTGGGATTATAGGTGTGCGCCACCACACTCAGCTATTTTTTAAAATATATTTTTAGTAGAGACGGGGTTTTGCCATGTTTGCCAGGCTGGTCTCAAACTTCTGGCCTCAAGTGATCCACCCGCCTCAGCCTCCCAAAGTGCTGGGATTACAGGTGTGAGACACCACATCCAGCCAAGAAGCAGCCTTTAGTTTTCTGAATATATGAATAACATGACATGGGCAGCTATATCATTCTTCTCTACTCTAAAAACCTAATAGGTTATTATAATTTCGTTTGCATTACTGTAAATATCTGCATTAGAAGAAATAACACTTTGAAAACAGTAATGGCTTTTTTTTATAAGAGAATATGGCTAACATTTGGTCATACGTAATCTGTGTAGACTTATAGTCCAGTTAAGGCATGTTACATCTTTGAAAAAAACATATATCCATGAAAACAATAAAAATTAAAATCTAAACTAAATATTGTTGTCAAGAGATAAAATTAAGAGTTTAAGAAGACTGCCAATTAATAAAAGCTTCTGCTACTTTAAAAATAATTGAATAACCTACATTTAAGGCAAAGTTATTTCTTTCTATTTAGATATAGGAAATAATGTTGCTACTATCTAAAAACAATTTCCTCAATAGAGATTACCAAGTCTGTTTTTTTCTCCATCCTACCAAAGTCCAGGAAATTTCAAGTGCTATGAAGAAAAAACTATGTAGAATGTTTGGGTAAAAAAATAAATGCATTAAAACCTTGTATGAAAAGCTAGTTATTTCAAGGTATTTGGAAGACGCATCACCAGCAAAGAATATATTATAAGAGTCTGTGCTTAATAATTTTTTGAAAGAGAGAAGAGAAGTTTGATGACAGGATAGCATCAGTGGGCGGTCAAGCTTGGGAGATCCCATGAAAGGCCTCAGTCTACTGCGGAAGGTTTCAGTGTGGGTGACGGGATATTTTCATGTGTGTTTCCTTTCAGTTGATACCTTCCAGTAAAGCCTCCCACATGCTGCTAGAGCACACAACTATACCACCCACAGCATTGTTTTGTGATTTGAATTAGGTTTCATGGAGTATGGGTCATAGGAGTTTGACTCAATACCCAGGGACTCTAGACTCTAATGACAGCCCTGATTATCAAGTTCAAAGGGTCTCATCATTGTAAATAAAAGAAAGTCTTAACAGAGAGAAAATAAAACTCTATAGAACATAAATATTATTACTTTAGAGCCTTAAGTTGGAAGGAACATTTATTCTAACTTTCTTATTTTGCAGATGAGGAAACAGATATGGAGAAAAAATACATAAACTGCCCAAGGTGAAATCACAAGGTTTCCTGAGTTCTAGTCATTCAACCAAATAGATTGACTTCTCTAAGGAAAACTATCATCCCAATATTAAGCACCAGAATGTCATATTTGATGCGGTTAGTGAGAATGACTTTCTCCCCCAGATTCTTTTCATAAGGGTGGATTAAAGGAGCAAGAAAATGAGTTAAAAAGACTACAATTTGGTTACATTTGATGGAGTTCTTAGAACACTAAAAAGAATCTGTGTGTGTATACATATATTAATTCTAAATGTAAAAATATTAATTACAGAATGAGATGAGACATATTTGAATTGCCATTGGAAGTTATTGGAATAAGACTCACACATCTAATAAAATGTCCTCTGAGAAACTGGCAGCTTGCTTTTCCTTATATGTTATTTCCCCTAATGAGTTCATGCTGGGTGAAAAAGAATTGGTGGAAAATGTCTTTGTCATACACTTAAGAGGCAGAGAGGCAAATCAGAAAGAGAATAGGTTTAAATTATCTTTAAATCTGTCTCTTATGTGGCTTGGTTTAAACATCCTCAAAACAACTGAGATCAATCATTCAATAATTCCTATCTTAATACAAGAAAAGCAAAATGATTTTAAACTTCAGTGTTACCTTAATTTGCCATAAATATTCTAGATTTGAAAGAAATTAAAAAAGCACAGTAGACTCTGTAATTGAATTTTAATTTCAGTAAGTAATGAGAAGCAAGATTGAAATTATCTTGCTAATTCTTTAGGTGTCCCACCAGTGATCAGCAGTTTTTATGAAACTGGTGACTTCTGCGTTGTGACTCTACTTGGTCACTGTAATAATTACCTTTTAGGGTCTATCTCTGCTTAAATATATATGTGTGTGTGTGTATATATACATAAATGTATATGTATAAACATCCATGTATACATTTATAAATTATGCATATAAATATATGCATAAATATATATTTATGTATGCATATGTGTATACATAGGCTAAGGAAAAAAATCTAGACCTTCAAATATATGCACAGAAATTTTTGAAAAGTTGTAATCAAATATCTTACTAGCCAAATGAGCTAGAGTGGAGAGTTCTGGAAGAGCTATCCAATATGAATCGAGTTGGCAGAAATTAGAAAGAGGGAAAATATCATTATGATAAGACATGAAAATCTCAGGATTCAGCTAGTGGTACATATCATTGTGAAATAATGGTTAATAGGAGGTTCAGAACAATATGCAAAAAGAATAATTAAACACCTAGCAAGTGGAGGCTTTGGAAACAGTAAAGATAAGAGTCTCTATGGTGAAGCAGCTGGGAATAGTTATTTTACAGCATGGTGTTTACAGAATATTAGGGAATTAGATTCTGTTCTAAATATCATGGTATAAATGAGAAAAAAAGAGATACAAGGACAGTTCAGAGGTGTTCACAATAAAAGTTCATAAGGTCTCCTTCAACTAATTCATAAAACTCAGCAATCCTCACATACTTTTAGCTATTACTCCCTCATCCCTCTAGCTCCCCACCCACACACACACCTGCTGCCACTAATTTCATTGCAGGCATCTGCAAAGGTAAATTAAATAACCAGAGCTTTTTGACATCTGAAGACAGTCAAACAGCTCTCTATGACATGTGAAATGATACTACACAGTGAAGCATTTTGAAACTGAAATACTCAGTCTGGCCCCCAAATTGAGTAAATTACGTTTTATCAATTATTTCTCAATATTCTTGATTATTCAAATACTTAATGATGTTTTAAAAAATGATGTCCTATTTCCATTTATGAAATAATATATAGACATAAAATATTTCTTAGACATTAAATATTTTAGTTAAGATGCAACTAAACAAAATAACACATAGATATCAACAAAATAAAATTCATGGTATTACTGGTATAAGCATATATCAGCAACTATAGCATCAACATCCAATGCTATTTGTCTGGTTAATAATTACCTATTTCTGAGTAAAGTCCTGTATCTTGAGCAAGGCAAGATATTCACCCCACTTTCCTTTCAACCTAAGGAATATATTAGTTCAACAAAATATTTTTCTAAAGATAAACAATTCTCCAAATACAGGGTAATTGTAAACTTCATTGTGCTTAGGGATTAGATTTGTTAAATTCAGAAGAGGGGCGCTTGGCACTTGTACATTATTGGAAATTCCCCAAACACAGACAACAAAAGCTCAGTCAGTTTAATCAAATTATCAGCTTTTCCTCAGTCTGTGTTTAGTCTGTGTTTGTCTAATGTCCGGGTGCATATTTTCTACTTAAGAAAATCAATAAATCTGCTGCTTTTAAAAAAGGCACATTTCAAATGCAGTATACAGCGTATTGCACTATCTGATCCAGCAATCTGTCTGCCTCTGCCCACAGAAGGAATGAACAAGAAATATGCCTGATGAGCTTATGAGATGGTTTATAAATTCATGTTTGAAGGGGAAAAATGATGCCATTGATATATACATCCCATTCACTTCCAATGTAGGAGTATGGCATAAACTGTATAGCTGAAACTTTTCTGCTATCTTGAAAGAGGTTATAAGTATTATAGGGAAAAGGGATATGATCTTAGCAATTAAATAAGTAAATCAGGTTTCTTAGGTAAAATATTTATCCTTGTAATATTCTTTTATGAATGTAATTGTTACTTTTCTATTTATCTTGAAGTCTGACAGCATCTTTCCCTTTATTATTTGTTGTTGTTCTGTAAATATTTAAGTTGTCAGTCTAACACACAATATTCAATTTTCCAACTGTGAGAAATTATCATTTTGCACCAATAACATTTTCTCATGTCCAAGTAGCTCTCAATTTCTCTGCTGCTGTCTCTTTATTTGCAGAAATACTTCCTATTTAAACAGGCACAAATGAGTTGTTTATATAAATCATCTTAAATATTAATACTTTCGATAAATACTTCATTTAAATGTATTCTACAAAGATCACCTTACTCATAAAAGCAAATCAAAGTGCAGGTTTTTCTTAGACCCAGCCAGAAAAAATTCAGAACTTTGGTGGTAAGAATTTGGCTCATTCATTTCCATCGATTAACTCTAATACAACTAACTCTAATTGTATTAGAATTAGTGCATGTTCTCACCCAGAAGGATGGATCTACATTAAACAAAATTTGAAAGGATTTAAAGAAGACAGACACTTTAGGAATAAGAGGCATTCTTCCCTATTGATTGAGACATATAAACTTACTAGAAAATAGATGCTACTTTTTCTTATCAATAAATGATAGAATGCTAGACAAAGGTTATTATATTAGAGCTTTTTGATCTAAAGATTTGCTCACTAGTAATCTTTAGAAATGAGCTTGTCATTATACAAGTATTTTATCTCAAAACCAGGACTGATGCCTGTAAATGAGTTGGTTTGAACAATGACAGTACACTGTGTTTGGTTGCTAGAGAAATGTTATTTACTCTTTCTCCTTCTGTCTCTTTGGCAATAAGAAGACATGGGAAAATAGTGAATTCAGGCATCCAGTGAATATGTCAAATATTAATAATCACCCAAGTAATTTATGAAACTTTCATTGATAAACATGTCTGTGCTTATAGGGGGCAACAAATGAGCAAGTACAAGAAAAAGAAGAAAAAGGCCCCTTAAGACAGCATCCTGAATCCCTTTTCAGTAAAGACACATTTTGACTGGGAAACTCCTTCTTTCCCCCACAACATTTGATAGCAAATGTTTGCTTTGTTTATTATAAAAATGCAGAAGTCATCATCATCAAATAACTTTCTTGCTTATTCCTGATGATTTTGGGGGAATATTTTCATCTTTGGTGCACAACTCTCCCTGGATCTGGTTTGCTGTTTTCCCCCACTGTTGTTTATGTGAATAATTTCTAGTCAGGGTAAAAAAAGGTGTTGCTTGTGCAGAGAATCCGTTTAGTAGAGCAGGCTAATAGGCTGACCAGTCATTAACTAAAACACAGCTGGGAAGAGGCTATAATCCCCCAATTTCCTTCACAAATGCAGTAAATAAATATTCAAGTGAAGCAGTGCACAAATTTGCATATGTGTTAAACAAAAGCCCAGCTGAAGATTTGGTTTAAAAGCTCTGCTAATGTTTCTCCATTTTCTACCTACAATTCCTCTACCTGAAGATTTTATGTTTCACAAGATCCCAATACTTCTCCTCAAATAGAATTCCCTTTCACTTGAAGAATTATCTTGGAAATCTGTTTTGCTGGCCCCCACGGTTGCTTCATTGAGCCCCATTTTTTTAAAGAGGAATGAAAGCCACCTATCAAATTAAGTCCGCTGCTTCTTCTTTAGATGTTGTTAATTTGAGTATCTTAAATACCTAATATGCCATTGGCACACTGTGTTTTGCCAGTTCATGAATAGAACTCTGTTTTTTGGAATCCAGAGCAAAAAATACTTAGGAAATGAAATTCTAAGGGTTCGCCATTGGTACAACTAATTTGCTGACCCTGTGGCTTTTAGAAAGCAAATTCAGATCAGCTTCCTAAATTCCTTCTTCTGTTCTCTGAGCTTTCAAGCAAATGATGTAACATAGGATGTTGCTCGGTTAATTATTCCTTAGAATGATCCTCAATATCGTTACAAATTTCCCACTCTGCCTCTTCTTTCCCTCTCCTACTCTTATTCCATGGTTGTAATTTCTAGAGTTAGATTCTAGGGCACACCTGACCTTAGGCTCTGCTGGGTTGCTTATCCTGAAGCAGTGTGAGTCCCTCCCAAGGTGAAGAAATATAATTAGAAGAAAAAGAGATCATTCAGTGAGGAGCCTAAGGTAGGACACAAGGGGTTACTTTCTAAGGGAAAAAATAGATTGCAAAAAAAAAAAAATTGACTGATTCTGAAAAGAAAAAAAGAGTTAGCGTTCTGCAGTAAAAGAAAGCAGCATGTCAAAAATTAGTGAAGTAAATTGACTTTTACTTGTTTTCAACACTACTTGTGAGTCTTATCAGGCCTGTCTTATTACTCTCCCCCAGAGGAGAAAGAAAAACAAGAAGATAGTAGCCAAAGACCCAGAGAATTCCTAGGCTAAACTGAATTTGTACATTTTTTCCTTGTTATAAGAAGTGGCCTATCATTATATAGATAATGGTAAATGTATAATATCTATCATTAGTATTTATCATATATATATTTGCATACTATATATAAATATATTTTCTTACATTTAGAAAACAGACTCAGGAAAGTGACATACATAAATTTGAACTCTGAATCTTATTATAAGGAAATGAGTTAGTTATTGAAAGACCAAATCAGATTTGGGGGCTTTAATATTCTTTTATATAAATAATAGAGGAATTATTTTTGCCAAGCTGTATTTAACTGCATGGGGGGAATCCCTATTAGTGTCTCGTTAGTTACTTGCTATACAACATACTAACCTGTTTCAATACTGTAATACTTAGGAGCAAGTAAGTGTAGCTTAGGCAATGAAGCTTTCCAGGGATGAGATAATAAAAGATTTTTTCCCCTTCTCATTCAATCACATTTACGAAGCATATTTTTAGGGAGAAAGTCACTATCATAAAAATGATAATGTATTGTGGTTGAACAAAGCCATGTCAGTATATTTTGTGTCACCCTTTTTTAACAACTAATTCTTTTTCATTGAAGAAAATAAAAGATTTAATACCAAGAGGCTAGTTCAAACACAAGCTCTAGCTAATGTAAGAATCAAGTTGTGTGAATTGTGCTATATATCTATAAGCATTCTTCTGAAAAGAAGCTTCAAAACTTTCAAAATACACATAAAACATGGCGAGATAACAATATAAATGTCTCTGTTTTTTCTTTAAGTTTTATTTTTTGCTCATTTCCTTAACAAGCTATGAAAATATTGTTTCTGTTCAAACCACATTGGAAAGACACTGTTACCTTATTTGATAACACAAAAGCTTGAGAAGTACCCTGAGGAACACCTGTTGGGTTCAGATACAGCTCCTTTTCGCTTGCCTGCTAATGGAGTTGAAATTTTCATGAGAAGTGACCCCTTCTCATTTGGTTTTATTATCCTCAAAACTTCTGAAGTCTCACCAAAAAGACTGTAATGAAGTCCAGTATCACTTGTTTATCCACAGCCACTTTGGTGTATGTCCTCCATAAATTAAATTGGGAATGCTACTTAAAAATAGTCATAATATTTTCTATTTGCAGGGAAGAGTAAACAACATTTTTCAAAAAACTTTCAAGTGACTTATCTGTTTTAAGTTTCATAGGTTACCTTTTATTGCTGTTATTGTTGTATTTGTTGCTTTACACACAAAAAGTTACTTTACAGTTAGTTTTTCTTTGTTTCTTTATCACTAATGGCTCAAACTTTCATGAAACTGTGGTGCTGTGTGTTGGGTTAGAGCTTCCTAGTCAGCTGCATGTCAAAGACTCGAAATCATGTATGGAATCATAAGCTATGAAGTGACAAAAACTAGCGAAGAGAGAGCAAGCATTTCAGTCATTACCACAGGGAGATTTTTATCAACCATTCTGTCTGAGCAAATGTATGTCCAGCAGTCCAGTCTGAGGTCACGGCTGCCCCAGAATTTGAGCGGTTGGGGATATTTTGGGATGCTTTCATTAGAAGGCACAGAGTACAGTTAAGAAACAGGCTTGGGGCGCCAGCATGTGATTATGGTAAGACTGGCTGACCACTGGGAAATTGCTGAGCCAACAGGCCAAGGAGTCAGGCTGACCTCCCTGAAGCCAAGTCCACAGAGAGCCACCACCCAACACACCTTCTGAGGGGTAATCTAAAGCACTCAATGCTCAAAATACTCATCTGAGCAACAGATGTTTTTGTAAGACAAAAGTATTGTACATTTTCAGATGCTCTGTTTATGAATCTTCTTGCTATTCTATTTTTAAAGGTGCTTTATCAAAAAAAAATTTCTTATATTTACTTCAGAATGATCCAGCATTCTGGCTGCCTTTTCATTGGTGGTGGTGGAGGTTGGTGGGGATATGGGGGGTTAGGGTTGTTGCAGAAGAGCTCTAACCACAATGCAAGAGTAACTTACTAGGCAGGCAGCAAGTAACCAAGGGTTTGTATAGACAACCATTATATAAAGCAGGTATTTTTTAGCCTTATTGTACTTAGTGACATTTAATGCTTCTGGATAAAATCTTTTTAATTTCAAGTTGTGGTTAACAAAATGTTTCTTTCCTTCTTACTCTTGTGTTTCTTGCTGCTTTTGCTTCTTCTAGCACTCAAACTTCATGTTTTTTTTTTCAAGCATTCTGTTTTTACAAAGCATAGAAAACAGTCACAAAAGAGAGAATTTAGAGAAAGTGTCATTCGATAACCATGACAACTCAGAAGGCAATAAGAAGAAATTTGGAATCTAATATTTGTTTTATGAGCAGTAGAAAACCTGCCAATTGAAGCAATAGTCCTCTGTTACCTGCCAGAGTCATACCATGGTTGAAATGGAATAAATCTGAAGAAAACAGGAAGATGTTAATATGATAACTTGAAAAGAAAAAATACATAATAAAAATCCACTAATGTTACTTTTGTCATCTCACAACATCTCACATCTTTATATTTGAAAACACATGTCCCCATGCCCATCCATTCCCCACCCTCGCTTCCTCTTCCCTTCTCAATGTACATAACATATTCCTGTATGAGGTTTTGATTGGGCAATAGTGTGTATATTTTCTTAAAATAACAGGAAACGGCGGGGGGAGGGTGGGGGTGGAAATGCTAAGCAAGATTAATTATGATATACTCTAACATAAATTATGTTAAAGCATTGACTCTTAGGCTGTCAGGGATTTCAATTTAACTCATATTTATTTAAGTAAAACCCCCAAGCTTTTACAATTCAAAATCCACATTTCAAGTTTGGATACTATAAAATAAAAGGTATACTACACATCAATGAACAGATTAAGCTCAGAACGGTGGTGATGGTTATTGTCAGATTTCTGCTAAAAAGACAACAAATCAACAATAATATAAACCAAAATTTCTACAGAAAAGACAAATCTATAAAAAAACAGGTCCTACTTACCACTTTATAGTCTGTCTGCATTTGTGTGCATGTGGCTTGCATGTGTGTGTGTTTATGTGTGTGTGTACTTTTCTTTGCCACACATTTGCCTCTTCTCTAATTTATTTCCTCCCTTATTGTTTCTTTCCCTTTCCTCTTTTAAATATATCTTAAGGTCTTCTTCAGCAATTCCAGGCCATCTGTCCTCACCGTACTAAATAAGCATTCATGGACACATGGCTGCCTCCTCCAGACTGACAAAGGCTCTTTAGTATAGCTAAGAGAAATGACCCAACAGCAGTGGTGAAGAGGCCTAAAAATATTTAAAGTATAAAAAAATAGCAAGACCCACCAACTTTCTCTTTGCTTGACTCCCCCTTTTTCTTAAGTTTATTTCATGTTGTACCATTGGAATCTGCCCTTACAGAATGTATTTGCATAATTTCCTGCCAAATTGAATATAAGCCTATTTTTAAAGGTAAAGAATCCTTATATCAGAAAAAGAAATGAAAAAAAAAACTTTTAACTTGTTTTTAAACTATGCTTGCATATATTCCTATGTAGCACAATTGGCAAGCTTTTAAAAGACAGAAAGGTGATTGTGTGTAAGAAGCATTCCTGAAATTTCTACTTCTATAGTAGATACAAGGGGTTTGATAGATATACTGTTTTAGCAGTTTAATAAGAATGCATCCAATGAGCAAATATGCTTTTAAATAACTTATACAAATTGGAAGACAATAAGGACACACAGTTTTTTTAAAAAAGTACTCAACGTATTAAAATTTTACATAAATGACTGACTCACACCTTTTCTAGCTGACCAATCTTGGACTTTTTGCATACTCTGTAGAAAGATTTGTTTTATTCTCAATGAATAATGTTTTCTTACATAAATTTGTTGGTTTATTAAAGCATTTTATCTAATGAAAAATATTTTAATTGGATGTAAATTATCACTTTATTTTTTTCACAACAGATGCTGTGTGAATTACATGAACTTATATGAATTTCTGAGCTACTCATAAGTATTCAGAAAACTGCTAAAACCTGTTAGCTGAATAAAAGATAAGATATTCCTATTCTCTTTATGGACTAAACCTTGCATATGTAAAATTGTTAGGCTTTTTTTTCCCCTTGAAACTTAAGAAAGTATGTATAAGCAAGTGTTTCTTCATTCTTTCACCTATACTATATATGCTTACACCTATACTAAGTATAACCCAAAATGATGTCTTCTAGGACTTAAGCTACAAAATGGCTGCACACTACCTTTCATATATTTTATGTGAAACAAAAAATCTCTACTCAACATTGCTCTTCTCTATTGACCATCATAAATCTTTCTTTAGTATGCTTTCAGCTTCCCTCTCTTCATTACTAATTTGCTTTTAAAAATCTGTTTCTTAAAAACATCTACAACAAAAAAATTTGGTAAATTATATCTTTTCAATTTTAAGAAAAAATAATAATTTTAAAAATGATCTTTGAATTATGATGGCACAAACAGAGTAAATCATCTCGTTGACACAACAGAATGGAAGTCAAACATTGAAGAAATTATTATCTATGTGAAATACAAATCAAGATTTACAGTTTTACAAATGCTTTTTTGAAAATATATATTATGGTGTATATGCTTATTAAAACTGGTCTTACAAGGGTGTTTGTGTGTAGGGGTTTGAAGCAATGATGTGGGAAAGAAGGAACTGAATTTAGGTGGTGATGAATTTCATTAAGAAGTAGGTGTTCATCAGTGTGTGTCTTAAAGTGTTCAGTGTTTTTTATAGAATGTTTCCCCTCCTTCAAAAAAAATCTAGTGGGTGTTCAGTGGGTTCTTTTGTTGTTCAATCTGTTAATTAGAATTTTGCAACAAACCTTAAAAGAGGAACAAGGTATGGTAAAAAGGTCTTACTGTAAAATTCAGAAAATGTGAATGCAAAAATCAAAGTCAAAATTATAAACATGAGAGGAAAAATACCAAAAGATTTTATATAAGTTTGAAAATAAAAAGCACAGCACCCTCTGAGAATCATAAGGCTACAATTAGAAATATTTCCGGAATTTGATTGGAGAAGGAGGCAGGATCAAAGCAGCAGACTCTATAGACAGTAGATAAAATGCCCTTATATTTATGGTCTCATTTTGGCTGACAGAGAGAGAATAAATTATAGTTCTAACTCAGATTTTTCCAAATATTGGATAAATGGGTAGGAGTCAAGGACCTGCTTCATCTCTAATACATCAAGCCACTTTAAAAAGTAAGAAAAGAAAAGGGTGTGGAAAAAAAGACCAGGGAATATACACATTTAGTTCTGAGAATCAGTTCAAACCTCCTTAAATAGTATATAAGTCAAATGCAGCTGTCCAAAATGTAGAGCCATTTCTTATATATTTTTGCTCCCTTAATAAAGTTCTCCTCGGCACTTTTTAGTTTATTGTGTCAAATTCTTGATGAATTTAAATGGATAGATAATTTGAACCATACATCTCCTGTATATTTTAATTTCGCAGGAGGAAAATAATTGGTCAACTACCTGTAGACAATTATTTTGAAAATAAATATTAAATTAGTGAAGCAGCAATTGTACCCTCTGGGAAACAACATGAGATAATGGAATAATATCGATATCAAAGCTAAACAGACTTAAATTATAAATTCTTACTCTATTTCTTACCAGGTATGTGGACATTGTCACATTACCCGCCTCCCTGAGCTTCAGCCCCTCCTCTGGAATCAGGGGATAATTGCTTCATCATGGACTGATTATGAATACTAAATATGATATGTAAAGGGCCAAAAGGGGTTTGAACTTATAATGGGTGCTCAGAAAATGTAACACTCCCAACCTATGCCTACCTCGACCTGGACTACTAGAGACACATGACCAGTTTAATCACCAGAAAAATGATTCCTCAGGAATTTCCTGGAACAATCAGAAATCCTTTAGGATATTTTTAGCATTGAAGTCAACAGTCTTCTTAATAAAGGCTCTGAACAATGAAGTGGATTTTCATGTGTAAAAGATGCAGGTGGGCATGTGGGTAACTCTGGTAGGGGAGTTTTCTTTTAAAAATCCCCTGTTGAGAACCATAACTATCATGAGGTCTACAATGGTATCAAAATTATTGTTTTATTAACAAATTCTCCTTAATTCATATATACATACCATTATAAGCCACGGATTCACAGAGAATAAAATGTGAATATGGAATGTGGTCCATTCAAATAATACTTAAATTTATGATATTGTTATGGTCAAATAAATTTTAAAAATATACAGGTTTGGGCAATAGGGGAATTTTTAAAAAAAATCATTACTGAATTTTTCTGTCAATATTTGATAGTGAAAAATGAATTTAAATTATTTTAAATTGAGAAATTTATGTTAATTGTTGTAATAAATAGATAATAAATTATCCAAGTAAAATACTTTTCAAATTAATATACATGTTTAATTTTAGGAGATATTAGCTTATTTCTAGCCATTCATTTTAATCCTGTGGAATAATACATGTTTGTTTCCTTATGAATATCTTTGGAAACACTCTATATTGATATATATGATATAGAAGCAAATGCAAATATTAAATCTTGTATAAAACCATTATTTTACAGAAAAATATGATATTCTGCAAATAAAGAAATCTTTTTGAAAAAATTACACCATACCATAATGCTTCATAAAGTTAAAAAAAAAAAAACTCTGTGGCTTGAGACAAAGAATTTACTTCTGATTAGTAACATAAAGAATACACTTTGCCTCTTGGATTTTTCTGGAAGTCCTCATGGTCTTCTACCAAATACGTCTGTGTATGACTTTTGTTGTGGTTAATTCTGAAGAATGTATGAACAAATATAATTACATTATTCATCATAATTTAAAAATGGATAAATGATCATATCTAGGTGATTAAAGTGTATTTTTCTACCTTAAACATATGATCATGCATGCATGCATACACATATACCGTATTTTCTATGCATTTAACTATGCTCACAGAAACACCACTTGAATTGTTCTGGGTTGATCTCAGAAAAAAAGGCAGAGAAACACAGTAGGACTGCTTTAAAGTTACATGTTCTCTATTTCACCTATATTACAAATGGTCCATGTGGTTTTTGGAGTCTAGAAATACCTAAAGGAACTGATATCACTAGCAAAGATTCCATAAGGCTGACATGTAACTTTGCTTTCCATTTACAGCAGAAACAGCCTAAATTACCGTGGAAACAGAAGCACAATTACTTTGCCAGAATCTGTTATATAAAGTAGTAATAATCACTTTCTCTTGTTGTCAGATAGGAGAATACCACATAAGTAAAGTGGAGAGAAAGTGACTGTAGGGAAAAGAGAGGGGATGTGAAGGTACACACACACACACACACACACACACACACACAAAAGAAAATGAAAAGGGTCTGAATATTATTTTATAAAACTTTGGTTTGTTTTACAAGACAATAAATTAAAGCAATTTTTCTGAGTAGCTCAGGCAGTAAAACAGTTCATCTGAATTAGTCAAAGTGGAAATGTGAGTTTCTGTCTGAAGAACATAGTTTAACCATAAATTCATGATTCTATACTTTCTCTCTAGCCAGTCCAGAAAAAAAGTCTATCTCTTTCTGGTGAAGAGATTTGAAGCATTATCTTCTTTGTAGCATCTGATTCTGTGAAAAGTTAAGGAAAGGCATTCTTTGGATTTCTAAAAATTATGCACTCAGTGTAATCAGGATAGACTAGGTTATACTGAGATAACACCTCCAAAACTGCAGTAGATAAGTGCAACAAATGTATATTTATTGATCATATTACGTGTTCATCCCAGGACAGCTGGGAACTCAGCTCTACATCTTCTCACTCCAGGTTGATGAAGCTTCTATCATCTGGAATGCTGCTGGTTGCCTTGACAGTGGTAGGGAACAATAGCAAACCGAATTTCCTTTTAAATATTCCATCTTGAAGAGACACCTATCACTTCTCCTCACATTTCATTAACCAAGGCAAGTAATGAGGACACGAAGTGTGTTTCATGTCCTGAGGATAGGGAAATGTATTTTGACCATGTGACCAGAAGGAGAGGTAATAGTGACCAATTATAAGAGACCCTCCATGGGAAGGCTGAGCAATGAATTTTGTCTCTTTTCATTGTTGTTTACAAACTCTTTCATCTTAATGATTGTGTGAAAACCTACATTGATTAATATGGTCAAAGGTAATGCATAGCTTATCCTTCATAGTTTCATTTCAGACAAAAATAGAAAAAAAGTAGACTCCTGCTTGCAGAGACCCATTTCCCTGAAATGTTTTCTGGCTTTTTGTTTTTTTGACAAAAGAACAGCCAGCCATTAGAAAATTACTGGGCTTGTAAAAACATCGCTATTATAATAAATATCCTAGAGTCTCAGTGTATGAGCAGTGCTATGGACACCAACTTCTCAGTTTATTTTATGTGCTCTTTCTGCCTCTCTATGTTGAAAGTCAGGGCCTCTGCTTTCTCCAAAGATGTCCTTGGATTGACATCGCCATTATGGCACCAGTTGTTATTGCTGTGCTGTTGCCAAGGTAGCCAAAATATAGACCTGGGTTCAAAGTAGTAACTGGGTGTGTAAGAGGGTAGTCACTTCTACTCTCATGGATACAGCTGCTTGAATGTGACAAATACTATTAAGATCGTGGGTCTTATTACCTCAAACCACAAGGTGCTATCTGAACAAATGCTTGGCTTTTAACTGTCAGATTCTTGAATGTGTCACATTTTTCTTCGGATCTTTGGGTTATTGTAACAGCTGTTTGTAAACATTGTAAAGCCCACATTAGCTACAGAGTGAGTAGAAATATTTTGACCCAAATATCTGCCCCCTGAACCATGATAAGGAATGTAGCCTGTATGCTGACACTTAAGCAGTAGATTTAAATAGAAACTAGGATCAACTTCCAGCTGAATAAGTCAATAGGCATTTTTGATTTCTGACTCCATCTGGGTCAGTTTTCATTCATCAGATGGCCCAAAAACATCCATTGACGTTGAGACCTTAAATGAAAAAAAAAAAAAAAAAGGTAATAAACTAACAGGTATTTCCAACAAGATTTTGGCTGGGCAATATTTTCAATGAGAGTCTAATCTATCCTCTTTGTTTGACAGTTAAAGTTACCAGTGCTTGTTTAATAGCCATCCTTTTCTTTAGAAACAGGGACACAAACAGCTTTAGAATTTGTCATGCTCTGATCTCTTTCATTCTGAAAATACCCCATGCTATTTTATGTGGTGGTAATGAGTTAGATATTTCTAGTGTTTGCCTGGGTAAGCAGTCATGAGGGCTGTTGTAATAAGTAAATAGTAAGACTACATTGCTCTGATAATAGCAACTTTCATTGAAGGATGTGAATGTGCCTTGCAAAAGAATGATATAGAATCCTTAGAAAGGCTTTTATTAGCAGAAATGTAATACAACTATTTTTAAAATGGAAACAGTAAGGCAGAGTGGAGAAAGAATCTCTGATATTGTGTTTCTAGTATCAATTGTAATTTGGGACATCTAAGCTATCAACCCAAGCAGTTAAGAAAAGTTCTAGTAAGAAAATGAACTTGTAGCACATTGAATATTATGGGAAATCTTGTCCTCAGCATTTCTGGATTTTGTAGATCCACATATCTGCCAAGAAGTTGTATTAGATAGTTACCTTTGGAAGCGGCCAAATGATATACATCCAGTTGAAATTGTGATTAGGATTGAAAACATATTTCTTACATTAATAATCTAATCCTTTTGTCCACTCTTTACAAAATAATTAGATATATTATGGCCATGACCCCCAAAAGTTAAAGATATTTCCTATCAAGCTCACTTAAATATAGACAACCATCTACTATTTTATATATAATGGTTATAGCAGTAAAGATAAAGCTCATATATTTGCTTCTGGAAGAAGTACTTTTTTTTTTTTAGAAGATCAACCCTCTTGTTTTTTATTCTAAATATTTGAGTCATAATTAAAGGTAGTTAGGATTAAATACATAAATAACAAGGTAAGGTAGCTTAAGTGTATGCTGGGTAACAGGCAATGTCAGACCAAGATTTTACTGGAGCTAATCAAGACAACTGAATGTGGGATGCATGTTTTCATTGTAAAAATGCAGGCAAGCTTTTTAATGTTTTCTTTTCATGTGATGTTTAGACAAATTGAGGTTTGTTCTTGTCTCATCGAGCTCTCATTTTCTCTTTCTGTCGTTCTTATTCTCTCTCTCTCCCTCCTTCCCTCAAGGAGAATCTCGAAATGAAACTGACAGAGCTGTGTTTCACTCTTTTATGGTGTAATGTTTGTGAGGTTTCTCACATTGTTTACATGTTTCCTTGAAATAAAGATGGCACTTTCATTGAGCATGTGTCCTGAATTTCCTCACAAAATCAAAATTGAAAATGGAGGCTAGAAATAATGCTTAATATCTTTTATGTCTATTTTGTCATGAAAATTATTCTTTGTCAAAACTGGCCCTGTATAAATAGAGAGGAAGAATATATTTTTGCTCTATTGCCTTCTACACCTCTTTGTATTATTCTAGTACATATTCTAGTATGTTTTTCTAGGTTCTACTCCTAAAGTCCCCAGGAGTCCACAGTTTAGTGACCCTGAACATTTAAGATTTTTAGAAAGTGTCTAATTTCTAAATTTTGCATTCTCATCTATTATTACAAGTTTGCTGGAGTTTTCAGTCTTGTGGGCTATAATGTAATAAGGATGTCAATACTTTATGCATCCTATATAGCATGTGAGCAAATAACAATCCTATCAAGATAGTTTCTTTAGAGAATTTTTTGTAGAAATCATCTTATAAACTGTTGCCATATTTCTAAGTTCACAGAAAATAAGTAAAAACAAACCAAACTATACTTAGTGTTTAGTGCCCCTTCTTCCCTCCAAGCTGCCCCTTTCCCTACTCTCCAAAGTCAGAAATGTCAGACTCCTAGAACGTTGTTAATAGGAAACAATCTGAGAGTACTAATTTCCACTAATTCATGAAAGTGTGAATGACTCTTAATCCCTTAAACTCCCAAAGGTTGAGAGTGATTGGAATAGTTGCTACCTAAATAAATCATGAATTTGTAGAACTTTAACATAACAATACATTGATGTAAAAAAGATTCAGATAATACATAAAGATTTATTTTCAGTTAGCACGAGAAGATCATACCAATTTAGATGTTTGCCTCTGCATCTTTTTATCTATAACGCTCGTGATTTACACAGCTTTCTTATTCTTAACTTTTTGCACCACAGAATCTAAAAAGTCCCATTCGTCTTCATTGTGGTTCCTATTTCAGCAGCTGCAAGGCACTGGTGTGTGGGGAAAGTGTGGCAGGAAAGAAGGTATTGTGTACATTGATTTTGGGTAAATCAGAAACTGTGTATTTGCATTCAACTAGGGACTTTCTGGGGATACTGCCTGACTTGAAACTGTGAGGAGTTCAGGGTCTGTGGAAGGTTGTTGAGAAAATATTTAAGTTCCTGAAATCACACCATTGGTGTAGCCTTTTCTATCCTTTATATGTGACTTAAAATTCATTTTGTTCATTTCTAAATGAAATAAATGAGGTTTATACACCATAACCCTAGCTTCCTAGCTGTGGTGCTAGTATTCACTAGTCCCGTGTTTTTCAGAAAATCATTTTATCTCTTTTTGACTCAATTATCTCCTGAATCAAATGGGATCATGATTCTAGCTGTGTCTTTCAAAGGTGCTGTTGGAGAAATGATGGACGAATAGATATGAACATGCTGAGACAAAGTTAGGGATATTATGCAAATTTTACATATTTTAATTATCAAATATTAAGAGACAGGACAAAATGCAGCTTTAAAATATTTTCTTTAACTCTTTATTATAACTAATTTCTTGTCGAGATCTAGGTTAAGATTTAGGGAAGTCATAATGTGAACTACTTTGTTGAAACTGAAATTAACATGAAGTTTCAGATTTTATAAAGTAGTTATTGGAATACCTTTATAAAACTGCTTGCCCTCTTGCCTTTAAGAATGCCAGGGAACTCAACATACTTCTCAGGGTCCTTAAACACAATCAATGACAAAATAGTTTTTTTTTTTCCCTGAAAAAATAATCAGTGTTATTCCAGGTAAGGATTCAAAGATATTTGAACATATGTGATAAACTAAAATTAAACTGGACTAAAATTAAAACTACAGTTTTAATTTTATATCACACAAAGCATTTATGAGAGTATATTGTTTAATTTGTAACCCAAGAAACAGTCTTTGGGAATGTCAAGATGCAATTGAGGAAATGTTTCAGGGGGTTGGGTCCTGTATTAGATTGAAATGGAGGCAAGAAAGAGTAAGGCTTTCTATATTAATGGCATTGGGGTCCTTTTACACCAACAGTCTATGAAGCTTTAGAAAAGAGAGAGAGGCACAAAGCAATCTATTCAGCAAGACATACATATATACAGTATTTGGTTTTGCATTACACCCAAAAAGATGGTGTAGTGCAAAGCCAAACACTGTACAACTCACTTCCATAGACTGGAATTTCACAGACTTGGGTTGATATTGTGTGTCTGATTATATGCCTAAACAATAACTCTATTTGATAAAAATCTTAATTACAACTATCCATACTAATATTCAACTATCAATACTAATATTCAAAGTATTTCACAATGGATCTTATGCTTTCTAAAATGCAAAACATTAGATCTTTCCAGCAATTATAAACAGATGTTAAATATTTCTTTATAATACATATTCATTATATATTACATATATATTGATCTATATATATAAATACTTACAAGCACGTGTATATAAAATTAACAGTCTCAAACCTTGTCAAAATTATTCTATTACAAAGTCAAGTTTTTCTTTGATTTACGTTACTATTGTACTTTAAAGTTATTCTTCCTTTATGAAGGGATCTGGGAACACTATATCCAGACACTTAATGCAAACTGGTCTACTGGACATTACATGGTGCCAAAATCAGATACTTGTGAATTTAACACACCTAAGGCCATCTTTACATTAGTACATTGCTCACAGCTTCAGCAGAAAGCATATTGGACAAAGTCACCTGCTAAATAACTTGGCTCAGGAAGTCAGAAAATAAGCCACTGACCTCCAAAATGAGAAGAATGATGGTGAAAGGATAAGCCAAAAATGTAGGTCACTTTGATTCCTGATTTTCTGTCACTCCCGCTTCTAATCCACACCAAGTTTACCTCTTAAACTTCCCTTATATTCATGAATGTCCTTTCAGCACACCTCTCTAATGATCATTAAACCCTTTGAATCATTGAAATACTTTCTCAATGGTTTCTTATAGTCTAGCTCCCCTGAAATTAATTTTCACAATTGCAGTCAAATAACCTTCCAAAAAGGTTCAAATAATATCAAATCTCTCTCCCCGCTGCTGAAAAGTCTTTTACACCACTTCCCTTAGCCCTAATGACAAATGGATAGGTTTGTTTTGTTGTTCATGTTAGACTTTGTCTTTCATATGGTTGGTTTACCTCAACTTTCTCAAGATTCTTGGATGTGTAGTCACATTTATAAATGATGAACTATATTGAATAGCACAGGTAGCTGACACATATTCTGTTTGCTTCTGTTCACTACCATTTCCCCGTGAGGCCTCTCACCTGAAAGAGAAGCCTGAGTGAAGGTTCTGTGTAAGTGAGGGAAGTCAGGGGAATGTTTTCACAGCCAGTCTCTTTGAAGTGCCCCTGGGAAAAATTGCAGGTTTCAGAGCAGGAGCCTCCTACAGGCTGTAGTCCAGTGCATTTTACTACCAAAAGAAGTGCTCTTCTGCCTTTTATTTTAAACTTATTTTGTGGTGTGTGTGTGTGTGTGTGTGTGTGTGTGTGTTTGTGTGGCTAAAATCATGTTAGGATGTGCTCCACTTGTCTGTCAGACCCCGGCATCTTCACAAAGATAATTTTGTTATAAAGATCACCCACTTGCACTTCATTTTGAGAATAGTCCTTGGGCTTAAGCCCTGGAACAAAAGCCTTTGCTACCAAACCATAGCTCTATTTACACCTGTATGGAAAGGAAGAGTTCTACTGTCCCAGCTCTTTGGAAAATAGCTGTCTAAAAAATGACCCTGGATTGCCCCCTCGCCTATCCCTGCCTTCTTTATTTGTTGATTCACCTTCGAGGTCTCTTAATGACTTCTGCTAAATTTCATCTTCTTTTATTTCCCTACCAATCATATTTCACTTATGCTATTCTCATAAGTTTTTATTATTTATTAACTTATTTACTTCAGAAATTTCAACTTTTATTATAGATTAAAGGGTACATGTTCAGATTTGTCACCTGGGTATACTGTGTGATGCTGAGGCTTGGAGTCCCAATGATCCTGTCACCCAGGCAGTAAGCTTGGTACCTAACAGTACCCCTGCCCGCTTGCCACCCTCCCCCATCTAGTAGTCCCAAATGTTTATAAAATTTTGATTCACTAATGGTACACTTTATTTTTTCTTTCCATAGTGTCATGTTCTCTTTCATTTTAATTCACCATTTCTGTCAATTCAAGGAGAATCTGAGGCAAAGAAAATACAGACAGATTTGAACTTACTAGATCAATTTGAACCAGAAGCTTAAGTTTACCTTTAATTTTGTTGGAAAAATAGTTTGAGTAAATTAATAATTTGATCATTAAATTATAAAAGACAGTTGTAACATCTAGGAAAACTTACTATTTTTAGGACCATTAACTTCAAAACTGTTTCTATTAATTTACAAACAACTTTATGCATTCTTATTAAAGATGATTCTTTAAGAATCAATTTAGAAAACTTAATTATCTGATCATATCAAAATTAACAAGATTAAATATATTTATATATTTTTTATTTTCTAATTCAGATAGACATTATTTTAAGGAATTTCAGTTAGTTAATTATTAAATATCAATATTCAATGATATTGAAATTAGTCAAACTGATGATTAGTAAATATCCCATTTTGTTGCTAAATAGTAATGGATGATAACAATTTTCAGTTGTTTAAATAAAATCTTACTTATTTTGCCAATCCTCAGCCAATCTTGATGATTCTTTCCATCACAGCATCATTTTAAATCATAATATTTTTTAAAAGCCTGTTGAAGTTACAGTAATTAATGGGGATTAAATTAATTATATACCTTTTAAAACTCTCCTGACAACTAGCAGAATACCAGTAAATGATTCGTGAAGATCTGAAAACCATCATAATGTCCCTATAGAAACATGAATTATTATGAAGGATCTATGAATTGTTTAAAGGAGAAACAAAAATAATAAAATAAATGGGGTCTTTCTTCTCAAAGTGGTTACAAATATTATTGATGAAACTAAATATTTAATCTTCACTGAAACGTAACCATAGAAATTAGTCTACAGGTTGTACATACATTTCACACAGAAATTCCATTAAATCTGAGGAGATAACCCATGGGACCAGCAAAAAATGGTTCTGTGGTAGGAAATGACTTTTAACTAAAGGTTAAATAAAATTGTACTGATGTTATTTTAAACTGATTACTCAAGACAGTGGTTCTTTTGGAATGGTTCTTACTTCAATTTGCTCTTCACTTCTTTCTGCTTTTTAAATTCCCAGTACCCTTTTATTTCTCTTATGCTCACGTTTTTATCTCTATTTATTCCTTCCCCACTCTTTCCAAAATCATGGCCCTACCTCATCCTTCACAGAGATTTATATGTACAGAAAACCAACTTACTAGTTTACTCCTCCTTCTCATGATTACCTTTTCCTCTACCACCATTTATTTATCTCCTTTTTTCCCCCACCTAAGGATTCATCAGAACACTAAATTTCCACTGATAATTTATATTCCACCACAAGCGCAATTATACACTTGGTTACATGTTTCATTCATAGATCTTTAATTGTTTGTAGACTAAAATTCTAAATGATGATGGCAAAAGTGTGATGATAATTTAAATACCCAAGACTAAAATTTCCTGAAGATAACTATCATTTCTATTACTTATCTATGCATCTAAACATTTTGTAAATTATAACAACATTTAAACATTTTCTATCCAATCTATCTGTACAAATATGGCTTTAAATTATATACTATATATATATATCAAAATATATTTGCATTGAGTTTTAATTAAAGTATACATTGAAAATTCAGCCATGAACATATTAGTATTAATTAAAAGAGTTCTCGCATATTCTTCTCTTCTCCTCCTAAAAGCTAAATTTGTTTCTCAATTTACTTTTATAGTGTATTTTTGAAAACCCTTTCAATATTTAAGTAAGCACTTTAGGTAAAACAGTCATCTCTAACTAACATTCATACAAATGTGTTCACAAACAAGGTTTAAAATTAGGCAGTAGTTGGATTTCCACAAGGCTAGGGAAAACTGGTTGAAAAGGAAGGCTTTACTTTTCATTCATTGTAAAGTTTTTCAAAATAGGATTTAATTCAAGAACTAAAGGTACATTTTATTTTTAAAAAAGCAAACTCCACTTCAAAACTTTTCATAGGTAGTTAGCTACTAATACTGACTGGATTTGCCTATAATTTGGTTTCAGAGAGTTCACGCCACCTGACAATTTTGGATGCCTGAAAATCAAAAGAATTACAGAAAACTGAATATCAGGTGACTCAAAAAGAAGAATTTAATTAACATCAAAATACAGAACTCACTAGGGTTACACTTTTTAAGTTTGAGAGTCATAGCCATAGTCATATTGGATTGTCACAAATCTGATAGTCAATATTTGTACACTTCTTTTAAACAAAGCAGGGTTCTGGAGAAAGATGCAGAGGAATCAGGAAGAATCTTCATTTGGAGAGGTTAGAATATTAAATAGAAGATAGAATGTCATATTATTAACCAAAGAAAAGGCAGATGGAAATTTTATAGTGTTCTGAATTTTTATTGTGTTTCTAGTTTAGTTTAAACTCTTCTACAAGAGAGCTTGCATTTCTTCAATACTTATAACTATACAATGAAAGATATGGATTGTTTTTAAATTTTATATATACAACCTAAGTAAAACTGAGCCTTTTGTCTTCCACCTTAAGGTCAATCTCAGTATAGAATTACATTGAGGCTGGGTGCAGTGGCTCACACCTGTAATCCCAGCACTTTGGGAGGCCGAGGTGGGTGGATCACTTGAGATCAGGAGTTTGAGACCAGCCTGGCCAATATGGTGAAACCTCATCTCTACAAAAAATACAAAAATTAGCCACACGTGGTGGTACGCACCTGTAATATCAGACACTCAAGAGGCTGAGGCAGGAGAATCATTTGAACCCAGGAGGCAGAGGTTGCAGTGTGCTGAGATCACGTCACTGCACTCCAGCCTGGGTGACAGACTGAGACTCCATCTCAAAAAATAATAATTACATTGAAAAGAACATAAATCCAAGAAAAATATTTAAAAGATAAATTAATGTCCACAATCTCTTAAGAAGGCAACAAGCCACAGTATGTTGTATCAACGCTATCAAATTTCTTTACACTTCTTTGCCCAGGTCTTTCCCCAAAGTCTTGCATGTCAAATCATTATCTATATTTTTCTTATTTTAGAACAATGCCAGGTGCTTTTTAAAATAAACTGTTTATTTTGGAACAATTTTAGATTTTGGAAATGTGCAAAGATAATACAGAGAGTTTCCCTGACCCCCTCATCCAGTCTCTTGGACGTTAACATCTTACATTTCCATGGTAAACTTGTGGAAACTAAGAGGTCACCACTGGTACATTTACTATTAACTAAACTCAAGGCTTCATTTGAATTTCACCAGTTTTTATATGAATTTTCTTTTTCTATTCCATGATTGATTCCAGGGTACTACTTTGCTTTTAGTCATCATGTCTTCCTCCTCAGTCTTCATTAGTCATTTTTCAGTCTTTCTTTGTTTTTAATGTTTTACCAGTTTTGAGCAATGTGGGTTAGGTATTTTGTAGAATATCCCTCAATGTGGGCTTGTCTGATACTTTCCTCATAGACTGGGATTAAGGATTATAAGGATTATAAAGAAGAATAACCCACAGGTAAATTTCCTTCCTGATCACATCATATCAGGTGTGCATGTGACTTGACTTGTCACTGGGTGATGTCACATGACTTGTCACTGGGTGATGTTAACCTGAATCATTTGAACAAGGCAATGTTGGCTAGGCTTTACTACTGTAAAGTTACTGTGTTTTCATTTCCTATACTCTAGTCTTTGGGTATAAATCACTAAATTCAGCAAACACTCAAGGTGTTGTGGTGGTGGGAGACGCTGGTGAAGTAAGCTCCACCTTTAAGAGTGGTAGTCTCCATGTGTATATTTGGAATTCTTTTGTAAGAAAGATGTGTCCCTTCATCCTCATATATTTATTTTATTTAAAGATTTGCCTTCATCAGTATGTATTCACACCTATCTGTTTTATGCTTTAGGTTGTAACCTAATATTGTACTGAATTAACTAGTACCCCCAAATATTTATGTCCACACAGAACCTATGAATGTGACATCATTTGGAAATAGGGTCTTTGCAGATTTAATCAAGTTAAGGTGAGGTCATACTGGATTAGAATGGGCCCTAAATCCAGTATTTCTGATGTCCTTTCTTTTAAGAAGAAGAAAATTTAGAAATAGACATTGACACACCCATAGGGGAGAATGCAATGCCATGTAAAGACAGAGGGTGAGATTGGAATGATTAGTCTACAAGCCAAGGAAGGCTGGCAACAATCAGAAGCTAGGAAGAAGCCACAAAGGCTTCTCCCCAAGAGCCTTGAAAGAGAACGTTACCCAACCAACCCCTTGATTTCAGACTGCTAAGCTTCAGGACTGGTAGTGAATAAATTTTTGTTAAGTCTTCTGGTTTGTGGCAATTTGTTACAGCAGTGAAAGATAATACCATTATTTGTTGCTCAAACTTCCAGGTTTGGCCTGTAGATCTTTCAGGTTGGCTCTTGTATTCCTTTGATATGCCACCATCAAGCTCTGGAGTTTTATAATCAATTTTCTTTCCTCTCTTCTGCCAAGCTCCTCTAACTTCTTCACTCCTTGTATGTGTATACTCTCTCTCTATATATATATGTGTGTGTGTGTGTGTGTATGTATACACACACACACACACATATATGTGTATTTCTCTAGATTTTATTTTCATCTTTTTTAGGTGGCTAAATACTTAAATTTTCTCCTCCCTACCATTAGTACAGAGAGTACTTTACTGACTAAGGAAGTAAACTTGCCTTTTAAGGGAGTGAGGGTGGGAGGGATGGGTGTGGCAGTTTAAAGAGCCTATAAGTGGTCTGTCTGCCAGTGTCTTTTTCTACACTTGCCACATAATCAATAGGTCCTATATTTAACTCGCTATCTTGCTGATTATTAAATACTTCATAAATATTTATTTACTATGTTTTTTAATACTTAATCACAAATCTTGTCTTCTCACCTTTCCAAAAATACCATAAGTAAATAGTAATAACTAGTGCAAAATTTGGAGGCTTATGTATGTTAAGATTATTATGTATCCTGAAAACAAACAATAAAAAAAAGTAGTAAAATTACCATGGAGGACACACATAGAGTCAGCAAAAGGAAATCAAGTGAAATGAAATCTTCCCTTTCTACAGGAATATTATCTCATCTAAGAATTCCAATAATCAATTTATTATGAAATTTTATAGCACAATTATCCTGTAGCAAAATGAATAGATGAAATATTTCTTTTTATATTTCTGCCCAATTAACAACACAATGAATAGATTTAATTCAGTCTGTAGGAAATTAGCAAATTAAACGAATAATCCACAAACTAGATGATTACATAAATTAACTAAAAAAAACCTCTATCCTGAGATTCTTCTTTATAAATGGAAAAGTAAAACACTTCTCCAAATTTCACCTTCCTGATATATGAACTAAATGTTGTTACAGCAGTTTTTCTCATGTACATGTTATCATTATTTTATGATTTCTAAAATCAGCATAGCAATGATAACAGGACTAAAAAAGAGAGACAAATTTTACAGGAAACAAATTGCAAATTAGGGTAAAAGAAAGATTTCATTTCTCATGATTTTATGCAAGTCCTTTATTGAACAATTATCCCTTATATTTTTGTTCAAATGTGCTCATTATAGAGCCTTATTCTAACCCACTCAGAGGTATGTCTCATGTAAAATTGTACTATCCGAAGCTCAGATTGTCCAATTTCTATTTAATTTATTCTGTATGAATGCCTAGACTTGAAAGTAAAGTCAAGTATCTAATAGATACCCATGAAACTTTATTAAATTCTTCAGAATCTTTAGAGTTTCCTCCAAGTCTAAATTGGCAGTCCACCCTGAATCTAAATGTAATGTGCTTATTTTGAGACTTCGGATATGGTATAATAGCATTGCCTTAAATCTGTGCTCATAATATTATTCATGATAAATTACTATCATAATGTTTACATAGATCATTGCATAAAATATGTTTAAAGTATGACATTCACTTAACAAAGAAATACAACGAAATTTTTTAAATATTATTTTTCTAAATTAGTTTCCTAAAATATTATATAGAAACAAAATATTGATCGTTATGTGTTGTATCCACCAAGTCTACCCACTGGCAACCTTGCATATAGAGAAAGAGGAGTGATGCATGGTATTTAAATCCACTTTAGTATCAGAAAAATGAAGAAGCATGAATCAGGGCAATAGTCAAAACAGATACAAGAAAATGCCTTATAATGGTATATTAATGTCTGAAAAGTTTAGATTATGCTCCAGTAATCCAAGTAAAGATGTAATCAATACACACAAATGATTATAAAAATAAATACGCATTGCTTAGAAGTCTTAATTCATTCTCCTATAGCTGATTACCTGATATCATACACAGCCTGAGTTCCTGTGATACCAAATATTCAAATTACCTGAAGGTAAGGCTGACTATACTAAAATGATTAATTCTGAATGATAGGTAGAAAATAAGCACAAGGTATAGTATATTTGATATTTATAGTAGATGTTGTTGTTCCTAATTATTCACTATCTCCCCTCTAAGAGTATAATTCACGCCCACTCTTACCGTGCCTCTCAATAGGTAGATTATTTTCTGTTTCATTGCCATGCTGAGCCATGTGACTTGCTTTTGCTCTTAGATGTGACATACACTGGACAAAAGCTTTAAATGTGTTTGCACAGTTTGGATAGGTGCTTCTTTGTTCTGCCAGGGGAAAAGCATGTCCCAGATTGGTGCTACTTTTTCAACCTGGATCCTGGGATGAGAAGACATGCACAGTAAAGCAGTGCTAACTTGCAGGCTTATAAGCAAGGAATACATGTTTACTGTTATAAGTCACCAGGAACTTGGGGTTGCTTGTTATAGCAATACAATTTGATTTAACACAAATGCAAGAGATAATTTTACACTCACTATTGGTCTTTTAAACATTTTGTATACTCTGTCAGCTTACTATTCCTCTGAGTACATTTGAATTGTATAAAAATGTTACTAGCAGACTTAAGATGATAATACTGCCAGATTTGCTCCCACAGATTTACCTGTTGGACTCATTGCCATGGGTTACCTTGGCCACTGAACCATTTAAGACTTGACACTGCTTTGAACGATCTTTTCTCAGATGTGGTGACATCTGAGGCTTTCCGCCTAAACTATCTGGTTTTTGGGCTTCCTATTTGAATCTGTCTTTATCAACTTTTCTGGAACGATAACACTGCAGCTGACATTTAAATGTGTTAACCTCTGCTCCTGCCAGAGATGCAAAACCATAATTTTACCTGGTTCTGTGTTTCTCTCTTATTGAAAGTACAGGAGGATCACTCAGACTGCAGATGAGACTATTTGCCTATCTACCAAATCAAAGTTTGAAGCGGATTGATTCTACATCAAACTAAGGAAAACTAATATGCAAAAGGAAGTCAAAGCTTTTAAGGAAGGGAGTGACATAATCACTTTTGTTGTTGAAATGGATAACTGTAATAAAAAATGGTACAAGTAGTGTAGAAGAAGATAGTGGCAGAAAAAATAGGAGAAATTTTGTAAATGCTAAAGTTCAGGCAAGTGGGAGGTTACTCTGAAGTCACAGAGTAATACCACAGGAGTCAAGAGTTAGGGAGTTTTTAATGTCATCCCAACAAATGAAACAAGTTCAATTTAGTGTTAGTAGTATTTTTTTAAATGATTTTGGGTGAAAAAGATGGTGCGTGGTTGCACAGGAAAGTTATTTATTGGTGATTTCTGAGATTTTGGTGCACTCATCACCAGAGCAGTGTATACTGTACCCAATGTGTAGCCTTTTATCCCTCACCCACCTCTATCCTTCCCCCTAAGTTCCCAAAGCTCATTATATCATTCTTATGCCTTTGTGTCCTCATAGCTTAGCTCCCACTAATAAGTGAGAACATACAATGTTTGGTTTTCTGTTCCTGAGTTACTTCACTGAAAATAACGTTTCCAACTCCATCCAGGTTGTAACAAATGCCATTATTTCATTCCTTTTTCTAGCTGAGTAGTATTCCATGGTCCATATATACCACATTTTCTTTATCCACTTGTTGGTCAATGGGCATTTAAGCTGGTTCCATATTTTTATAATTATGAATTCTGCTGCTATACACATGCATGTGCAAGTGTCTTTTTCATATAATGACTTCTTTTCCTCTGAGTAGATACCCAGTAGTGGGACTGTTGGATCAAATGGTAGTTCTGCTTTTAGTTGTTTAAGGAATCTTTATACTGTTTTCCATAGTGGTTGTACTAGTTTCCATTCCCACCAGCAGTGTAAAAGTGTTCTCTTTTCACCACATCCATGCCAACATCTGTTATTTTTTCATTTTTTAATTATGGCCATTCTTTCAGGAGTAAGATGGTATCTCATTGTGGTTTTGCTATGCATTTCCCTGATAATTAGTGATGTTGAGCATTTCTTCATATGGTTTTTTTGTCATTTGTATATCTTCTTTTGAGAATTGTCTATTCATGTCCTTTGCCCATTTTTTGATAGCCTTCTTTGGGGTTTTCTTTCTGATTTGAGTTCCTTGTAGATTCTGGATGTCAGTTTTGTCAGATCCATAGTTTGCAAATATTTTCTCCCACTCTGTGGATTGTCTGATTACTCTGCTGATTATTTCTTTGGTTGTGCAGAAGCTTTTTAGTTTAATTAGGTCCCATTTATTTATCTTTGTTTTTCTTGCATTTGCTTTTGGGTTGTCGCTCATGAAGTCTTCGTCTAAGCCAATGTCTAGAAGAGTTTTTTAGTGTTATTACCTAAAATTTTTATGGTTTCGGGTCTTAGACTTAAGTCTTTGATCCATCTTGAGTTGATTTTTATATAAGGTGAAATATAAAGGTGAGGATCCAGCTTCATTCTTCTACCTGTGGCTTGCCAATTATCCCAGTATCATTTGTTGCATAGGGTACTTTTTTCCCATTTTATATTTTTGTTTGTTTAAATATTTGGCTATATTTCTGGGTTCTCCATTCAGTTCCATTGGCCTACTGTTTATTTTTATATTAGTACCATGCTGTTTTGGTAACTACGACCTTGTAGTATAGTTTGAAGTTTTGTAATGTGATGCCTCCAGATTTCTTCTTTATGCTGAGTCTTGCTTTTGCTATGTGGGCTCTTTTTTGGGTCCATGTGAATTTTAGGATTGTTTTTCCTAGTTCTGTGAAGAATGATGATGGTATTTTTATTGGAATTACATTGAATTTGTAGATTGCTTTTGGCAGTATGGTCACTTTCACAATATTGATTCTACCCCTTCCTGAACATGGGATGGTGTTTTCATTTGTTTGTGTCATCTATGATTTCTTTCAGCAGTGTTTTATAGTTTTCCCTGTAGCGATCATTCATCTCCTTGGTTAGGTATACTGTTAACCATTTCATTTTAGTTTTTTGCAGCTGTTGTTGATTCTTAGCTTGGTTATTGTTGGTGTATAGCAGTGCTACTGATTTGTGTACATTGATTTTGTATCTTGAAACTTTACTGAATTAATTTATCAAATCCAGGAGCTTTTTAGATGAGTCTTTATGGTTTTCTAGGTATGCAGTCATATCATCGGCAATTCCTGATGAACATAGATGCAAAAATCCTCAACAAAATACTAGCTAAGTGAATCCAACAGCATATCAAAATGATAATACACCATGATCAAGGGGGTTTCATACCGGGGATGCAGGGATGGTTTAACAGATACAAGTCAATAAGGGTGAAACATCACATAAACAGGATTAAAAACACAAGTCATATGCTTATCTCAATAGATGCAGAAAAAGCATTTGACAAAATTCAGCATCGCTTTATGATTAAAACCGCAGCAAGATCGGCATAGAAGGGACATACCTCATGGTAATAAAAGCTATCTATGACAGACACACAGCCAACATTAATACTGAATGGGGAAATGTTGACGTTTTCCCACTGAGATCTAGAACAAGACAAGGATATCTTCTTTCACCATTTCTATTCAGCATACTATTGGAATTCCTAGCCAGAGCAATCAGATGAGAGAAAGAAATAAGGGCATCCATATCAGTAAAGAAGTAGTATTTTTGCTAATTAAATATGTTGCACATTTGACAATGTAACAAGTGACAAAGTAATTGGAGAGACATTCTGTAGATTAGATTATTATATTCATCAATCATTTAATAGTGTGTGTGAAGTAAAGATAGTGAGAGAACTCTAATGATTGAGAAAAAGTACAAAACACAAAAGAGAAGGCAGCTGAAAAGTTACTTGAACTAGTAAACAACACACATGATGTGATACTCAAGGAGATACTATTGTTTTAAAAATTAGGAATCAGCTGGGCATGGTGGCTCATACCTGTAGTCCCAGCACTTTGGGAGGCTGAGGTGGGTAGATCACAAGGTCAAGAGATCAAGACCATCCTGGCTAACATGGTGAAACCCTGTCTCTACTAAAAATACAAAAATCAGCTGGGCATGGTGGTGTGCACCTGTAGTCCCAGCTGCTTGGGAGGCTGAGGCAGGAGAATTGCTTGAACCCGGGAGGTGGAGGTTACAGGGAGCTGAGATTGCGCCACTGCACTCCAGCCTGGACGAAAGAGCGAGACTCCATCTCAAAAAAAAAAAAAAAAAAAGTTAGGAATCACCACTTTGGGAGGCTGAGGCAGGTAGATATAGATCACTTGAGGCCAAGAGTTCAAGACCAGCCTGGCCAACATGGCGAAACTCCATCTCTACTAAAAATGCAAAAACTATCCAGACATACTAGCACATACCTGTAATCCCAGCTACTCGGGAGGTTAAGGCATGAGAATCATTTGAACCCGGCAGGTGGAGGTTGCAGTGAGGTGAGATCCCACCACTGCACTCCAGCCTAGGGGGAAAAAAATAAGAGGGAATCACATATTATGTTTTCTTCACTCATAAAGAAATTTACCTAATTTGACTTCTTTGTTATTGGCACTGAAAAATAAGTTCATTCCCATAAAATTCAATGTGACACTTTGACTAAATAAAATTGTTATTACCAACATTTTATGACTGAGAGGTTAAACATTAATAAGTTAGTCCAGTAACTCAGCCAGCAGAGGTTAGTAGCATTTGGAAAAGAATGCTCTAATTTCTCTTTAGAGACCTTCAGTTCTGGAAGAGATTGGTGTTGAAATCCTTTAGGTTAGGGCCTAATCCTTTGGGTTCAGCATTTATGATATGAACAGTAGTAAAGATTGCAATCTTAAGGATGAGAAAATAGCAAGTCAGAATGTAGAGGTTCTCAGACTAATAATCACAGTCAGCAAAGGTTAGCTTCCTGATTCTCTGCTTGAGGGAGATGATGACTCATTAATTATACAAAGCAACTCCAAATACGGCTTTCACACATTTCTCTTTTCTAACCCAATTTTACTTTAAGTGAGGAGTGAACACAAAATGTAGAGTTAAAACTCCTTTCTTACAAAAAAGGAAGAAAGAAAAAGAAAAATAAAAAACCTTCTACTTATACAATTGTATGGTAAATATACTAGTCTCAGCATTAATCTTACACTGAAGATGGCCTTTTGATCACTTTATTACTTGTAATTTTCTTTTTCTCAACATCAAAATGAAAATCTCAAGTTCAACTGGGTGGGAAATGACAGAACCATATTTTGTACAAAATAAGGATGATATTCAAAATTGTATTCTAGGCACTGTTTCCAATTAACTATTTGTTGATAATTCTGATGCATGCCCTGAACAAAAGAGGTAAAATTTATCACAGAAAGAACTATCTTGATGTTATAAAACCCCTGCTGTTCTTTGGGACCTCTCAAAGCAGCAGCCTGCCTTGGTTCAGGACAAAGTCATTTTCTTGTATGATTGACTAAAAAGGGGTCATGTTACCAAACTAAGGTGGAGAATACAAAAAGTAATATTGTACTACTAGGCATTCTGCATACTTATGTTAAAGTAAAGTAATTATAATGGATGTGTATTAATAAATGAATACATTTTTATAAATAAATATAATGGTCTTTTTAGAAGATACAAATATAACTAAATTTATCTTTTCTTATTTCTCTGTAATATATCCATGAAAAGATATCCTAAAAAGAAAAACAATTCTCAACTGTTGCTTAGAAGAATGAGAGAACCAAATAAATTCTCAATTCTTACAATAATTTCTACAGTCTGTCACCTAATGAGTTAAAACCTAGGAATGGTGTCTTCTGTCAAGCGGCCCTAGGCAGTCTTTCTGGAGAGGCATGCTGCCAGAAGTTGTTGTTCTAACAAGGGGAGGAATGAAAGGTACTACGGCAGATACAACTTGAATTCAGAGAAATTGGCTCAGTAAAATCAATTTAATGTGTGCAGTATAGGAAATATTATGTTGAGGATAGCCTGAACATTCCAGCCCCTAATATGTCTAATAATTTCAGGGCTAGAAAAAGAAAACAGATGCAAAAATCCGCCTGAACCCTAAACTCAATTTGGAGAATTTAAGAGGAAAGCAGGAGTGAAATGCTCATCTCCAGCTGACATACTCCTTGTTTTCAAATACGGAAGATCTACCCTGCTATTAAATAGAGCATTCTTTACTATGCAGATTATGAGAAGAGGAATGGAAGTATCTCCCCAAGATAGCGTGCTCCCTAATTCTAACTCCATGTGATACTTCATGTTGAAAATCTTGCTATTGGTATAATGCTCTCACATAAGAATGAAAGTTTCAGCATCACAGAAATACAACAGACAGTTTCCTTTGTCACATCACTAAGCCATTCCTTGAGTTTGTAGTTGAATCTTGAAAATTTTTCTTTCGCAGTGAATGGCACCAGTGGAATTTTCTCCAACACCAAAGAGAGCCATAAACCTAGCACTTGTCACAAAATCTCAAATCTGTCTACCATTAGACTAGATCTCTAGAGATTAGCCAAAGAATCACAAGAAGAGAGGAAGAACAATAATAATAACTTGACTTAGTAAAATTTTAAAGAACCAGAAAAAATAATTGGGAGAAAAAAAAATGCCTGTGCTATTCCTGATACAGAACAATCACACAAAAGTAGATTTTGAAAACAGCTGGTATTCTTTTATACAGAAGAAAATAAAGCATAGTAGCTGCAAAACAAAAACTGAACCAATTAAACCTTGTTAAAGAAAAATCTAAGTCATCAATGAAAATAACTAAGTAGTGAAAATCAATGACTCGAACGACCACTCAATGAAACAGGAAATAAAATTAAGCAACATGCAAAATGGAGAGAAGATCATTAATTTTCTGAGCTTAAAAAAAGAGGGAAAAATGGTAGACATGGAAGAATATCACCGTTTTTTAAATGCCTAATGAAACTACATTACTGGGCAATGATTACCAGCGCTAATCAACATCACACATTGAGATACCCAGAAATTGTATGCCTCATGAAGGAAGTACACAATACCAGCTATGGAGAATTCTTGTTGAAAACAAAGTTCACTCTGATTGAACCTATTAGTCTGTTCTTATGCTGCTAACAAAGGCATACCTTAGACTGGGTAACATAAACAAAAGAGGTTTAATTGACTCACAGTTCAGCATGGCTGGGGAGGCCTTAGGAAACTTACAATCACGGTGGAAGGGGAAGCAAACATGTCCTTCACATGACAACAGGAAGGAGAAGTGAAGGGGAACTGTCCTTTAGAAAACCATCAGATCTTATGAAATGTATTCGCTATCACAAGAAGACCATGGGAAAAAGCCACCCCCATGAATCACTTACCTCCCACTGGGTCCCTTCTACAACACATGGGGCTTATGGGAGCTACATTTCAAGATGAGATTTGGGTGGGAACACAGCCAAACCATATTATTCATCCCTTGGCTCCTCCCATATCTCATGTCTTCACATTTCAAAACCAATCATGCCTTCTCAGCAATCTCTCAAAGTCTTAACTCATTTCAGCATTTACTCAAAAGCCCACAGTCCAAAGTCTTATCTGGTACAAGGCAAGTCCCTTCCACATATGAACCTGTAAGATAAAAAATTTAAAAAAAGTTGGTTACTTCCTAGATACAATGGGGGCTGGACATTGGGTAAATACACCAGTTCCAAATGGGAAAAATTGGTCAAAACCAAGGGACTACAGGCCCCATGCAAGTCCAAAATCCAATAGGGCAGTCATTAAACTTTAAAGTTCCAAAATGAAATCCTTTGACTCCATGTCTCACATCCAAGTCAAGCAGACACAAGAAATGAGTTCCCAGGGCCTTGGACAGCTCCATCCTGTGGCTTTACAGGGTACAGCCCCCTGTCCAGACTGCATTCACAGGCTGGTGTTGAGTGTCTGCAGCTTTTCCAGGTACACGGTACAAGCTGTCAGTGGATCTACCATTCCGGGGTCTGGAGGACAATGGTCCTCTTCTCACACCTCTTCTAGGCAGGGCCCCAGTGGGGACTCTGTGTGGGGGGCTCCAACCTCACATTTCCCTGCTGTACCACCCTATCAGAGGTTCTCCTTTAGGGCTCTGACCCTCCAGCACACCTCTGCCTGGACAACCAGGTGTTTCCATACATCCTCTGAAATCTAGGCAAAGGTTCCCAAACCTTAATTCTTGTCTTCTATGCACCTGCAGGACCAATACCACATGGAAGCTGCCAAGGCTTGGGGCTTTCACCCTCTGAAGCAAAGGCCTAAGCTGTACATTGGCCCCTTTTAGCCATGGCTGGGGTGGATGGAATGCAGGTCACCAAGTCCCAAGGCTGCACACAGCAGGGGAGCCCTGGACCTAGCCCAGGAGACCATTTTTTCACCCTAGGGATCTGGGCCTGTGATGGGACGGGCTGCTGTGAAGGTCTCTGACATGCCCTGGAGACATTTTCCCCGGTGTCTTGGCAATTCGCATTTGACTCCTCATTGCTTATGCAAATTTCTGCTGCTGGCCAAAATATCCCCCCAGAAAATCATTTTTTGTTTTCCACTGCATTGTCAAGTTGCAAATTTTTCAAACTTTTATGCTGTGTTTCCTCTTGAATGCTTTGCCACTTAGAAATTTCTTCCCCCAGATACCCTAAATCATCTCTCTCAAGTTCAAAGTTCCACAGATCTCTAGGGCAGGGGCAAAATGCTGCCAGTCTCTTTGCACAGCAAGAGTGATTTTTACTCCAGTTCTCAACAAGTTCCTCATCTCTATCTGAGACCACCTCAGCCTGGACTTTACTATCCATATCACTATCAGTATTTTGGTCAAAGCCATTCAACAAGTCTCTAGGAAGTTCCAAACCTTCCCACATTTTCCTATCTTCTTCTGAGTCCTCCAAACTGTTCCAACCTCTGCCTGTTACCCACTTCCTAAGTAACTTCCACATTATTGGCTATCTTTACAGCAGCACTCCACTACACCATACCAATGTACTGTATTAGTCTTCTCACATTGCTGATAAAGGAGGCTGAGTAATTTATAAAGGAAAGAGGTTTGATTCACAGTTCAGCATGGCTGGGGAGGTCTTTGGAAACTTACAATCATGGTGGAAGGGGGAGCAAACACATCCTTCTTCACTTGATGGCAGAAAGAAGTGCAGGAGAACTTCGCCATTTATAAAACCATGAGATCTTGTGACACTTATTCACTGTCATGAGAACACTTGGGGAAAACCTGCCCCCATGATTCAATTGCCTCCCACTGGGTCCTTCCCACTGGGTCCCTCCCATGACACATGGGTATTATGGGAGCTACAGTTCAAGATGAGATTTGGGTGGGGACACAGCCAAACCATATCAGGCTTGTGCTATCTAATTTTTAGTGTGCTGGGTACAGAGGAACATATGCCATAAGAATGCAGTAAGAAAAACCTGATTGTGAGAAATTCTGCAAGAGAAGTAATTCAGTTTCTTCAACAGGTCAATTGGAGGGGAAAAAAGAAGAGTAGAGAGTAGATTTTAAAAGACTTGAGAGACATAGCAACTAAATTTACATCTGAACCAAACCTAAAGTTATGATAAAATCAATGCCAGAATATGATGAGGAGCTGGTCTCAGAATGCTTACAGCAAAACAGTAATACATTAATGTCATGCAAAATCAAATTGTCACTCATATACATGGAGGGAGGGTAGGGAAGAGCTTCTTTTCTCTTCTACAGGGCTGAGTTCTATTTGCCTAACACTCCATTCCCCAGCTCACATCCAAGCAGAAGCAGCTGAAGCAAATATTTACTGGGGACAGAAAGAGGATCATGGAGGGTGAGCTGGAAGAGTCTTTATGGCAATGGCTAAGAACAATACAACTTCTTTTAAACTGAAAAAAAACAAATGAGTTTCATGTACCCTAGTGAGATTCTAATTTAAATTATAAGCTTTATCCCTGTACAGACAGTGCTAGATCAGCTAACTCAAAATCCATATTGCATTCAGTACCAGGAATGAGAAGATGAGGGGAGTAATCTCAAATTAATATAGTTTTTGAATAAGACTTAATAATTGTCTTCTACTATACAATTACACATTGGTTCCAGATTGGTTAATTATGTATGAAGAGGAAAACTTCCTTCATAGGTAAATTTCTTAGACCCAAACAATTCTGTAACAAGAGGCAGTGAAAACAGTCATAGTGCCAGAAACATGGAAATGCTTGCTCATAAAGAGAGTGTGGGCTTTGTGACTCAAAAGTCATTCAATTCAATTCTACAATGCAAAAACACAAAACCAAGGAGAAAATGGGAATTCAGGTGTTTGGAATAGACTATGCAGAAAAGGAAGAACTTTATAAAAGACTTCACAATGGAGATGCCATAAAGGCAAATTTAGAAATGTATGGAAGAATCTAATGATGGCTCAAATTGAATTTTTTGCAAGATGAGACATTTTGCATAAATGGATTTTAGTCCCTGCCACATGCTGAATGCATAGGGCCAAAATTAACCTTTTAATGGGAGAGTCCTTCTGACTGAGTGTGCTTACTTCAATTTCTTTGAACTTTAACTCATAAGGACGATATAATATAATTCACTCTTTCATTCTTGTTTCAGAGTCGCTGGGTGGGTGAGTATGCCTAATTCTGAAATTCAACATTTAGGAAGTACACTATAACACAGATATAAGCCAATTCCTCTATAAAGGAAGAATTGGTATTTTGGTTGCCTTCTCTGTCTTTTTCCACATATTATTTCTCAATTGGTGAAGAGAGATACTACCTATTATTTATCTCCTCCTATATGAACACAAAAGAAAGATTTTATCATTTGAGTTTACTTTCTGAAAACTTGCACACCAAAATAAACTGTTCCTACAGGATCATTAATGGCACTGTCCAGAAATCATTAAACAAAAGTAACTCTTAAAAGGGAATGCTTCTGTAGAAAGAAAACTGGAATTTCCAGTGAAACCAATGACAAAATAAAAGATAAGAGAAAAAAAAGAATTAGAGATCCTTAGTTTACATAAAGCCTCATTTATTAAACAAATACTTATCTATTAGATGCTCTGCTAGGCAGAGTAAATACAATGTTGAACAGAAATATGTGCGCCTGCTTCCACAGAGTTTGAATTGTGTCTAAACAGAAGTAACAAAACAAAACTAAACAAAAACCACCAAGAGAGAAAGATGCTATGTTATCCTATATGCCTAAATTGAGAAACAGAATCGCTATCACACTAGCTGGGCCAAAAAGGGTAATGTGTTGAAGAAACAAGAAGGGAATTTTTTCTTTATCTTTCTTAGGCTACATGGTATTTTAATACTAATACTTCTGTAGTGCAATTTTATTTTCTTTTTTCTTTTCTCTCCCCAGGCTATCCCTATTTCAGTATGCACATGGTAGACACTGAGTGCCCAATGTTGGTTCTGAATTTCAACACACAATTCGGATTTCATCTTTGAGTCATAGTTCCTGATTGACTCACAGAAATCTGTTTGACCCAAAGTTAAGGGTCTACCACACAACCAATCATTAGTAGCCAAAGGTTGGGTAGATTGGGGGTTAGAATCATATAACACTAACATAAGGATTAGCTCTCTTGGAAGACTTTGCTACTTGCCTATGCAATGTCTATTCTCTACAACTTTATGGTTATAATAGAAACCTAATTTTGTATGGGGCAACAATGTTTCCAGTTGAAATATAATATTCCTTATCCTTTCTTGTGGATAAAAATAGTCATTTGACAAGGTTCTGGCACAATGAAATGTAACTTGGATTTTCCAGATGGGGCTTTGGATAAAGCTTTTTAAAGGGAAGACATTAGAGGTTCATGGCCTTTGTCTTTGGCTTTCGTATTCTTCTTCCCCAGAACTCAGATACAAAGCTGGTGGTGGCTAACCATCTTACAAGCATGGAATGGCAAGCACAATGGCAAGTGTTCATGTTAAAATCAGCTGAGTGAAGAGGTTAAAGAGAGTAAGTCTTAAATATTATTTCAAAAGCTACTGTAAAAGCCCTGGACTTCTCACCTGCAGAATTTTGTGAAGTGACAAAAATAAACTTTCTGTTTAGCTAAATCACTATGAATTTTATTTTCAGTCATAGGCAGCCAAATGATTTAAGTACTGCCCCTTTGTGATTAGTTTGTGATGCCTATCGATATCAGATAAGTGGATTTTGATTGATTAAGCAATTCAAGCAGACTTACCTCCAACAATAAATGGGAACAACAACCGTAATCAAAATACAAAAAGAAAACAAAAAGTTATTGTTAAAGATGCAGACAAAGTTAGTAAAAAATTAGAAGAGAATGGAGAACGTTTGGGCAAAAGCCGAATACTTTTTACACTCTATGACAGTTTAGACCAATATATATAAGCGTGGAATAAGAATATTTGTGCAATGCCTCTTAAATCATTCAACACAATGTAAACATCAAAACTAGGGTAAAAATGCAACTATAAGTTAAGTCTAACTAATAAAAGTGTTCATTAGATGAGAACGAGAACGTCTTATAGAAAAATAGATGGAAATACTATGTAAACAATGAGTTAAAATCGCAGATTGAAGTGAAAAAAATACTAGCTAGATGTAAGACATGAACCTAGAGCAAATGAAATGCAGAAAGTTAAAAAGAGAATGACAAAGACTTATTAATAAACTTTGTGTGAAGTCATCATGAGTATTATTAATATCAAACAAATCAGAAATTAATCACTACATAAGCTAGTCCATTATTTACTAGTTTTTAAAAATGTTAATAAAAGCCAAACATTAACAAATATTCATGTACCAAACAATATAGTATCCAAAAGCATAAGGCAAACGTTTTTAGAAACATAGTATTTGTCAGAAGTTGAAAATTTGTTTAATCTCATTATGTGTCTGTGACAGGTTCATTATGCAAAAATCAATAGAACTTCCAGGGGAAATTAAAAAGTTACAGAAAAGTATGATTTTGATGTGATAGAGGTCTCAGTTTGAACCTTGGATCTAAGTAAAATGCTATGTTAACAAAAGCCTCATTTTGGAATTAAAGAGGAAGAAGAAATAGGAGAAAGGAAATATTTTTGCCCCAACCTAAGAAAATGAGAAAAAGAGATAAAGAAGGGGAGGTGGAGGGTAGGTGAAGCCGCAGGGGAGGAAGAGGAGACATAAGAGGAGAAGAGAAATCTAATTCAGGTTCTGTATTATTGCCATTATATGCATTACTTCATTTAGTCTTCACATGTGCCTATTCCCATTTTACAGAGGAATGAATATAATTTCAGAGGTGAGTAATATTCCCAAGATCCAACAAAGGGTTTTTCTTTGTTTTGTTTTTAATGCTATCATATTTTCTTTTTCTAATATTTGAAATTTAGTTTTTAGGGTCATTCTACTTTGAAAAGTTTACAAAATAAAGAAGAGTAATTTTCTAGTTTTGGAGAAACAAAATTTTAAATTGTGGTAATGATAAGCTTCTTGACTCAAGAGTCTAAACTGTATATTATCATTTGCTTAGAACTTGTTGATAAATACTCACAATTTACATTTTTAATGGTCATACAATTGAATGTGTTTTGAGAGAAACTATTTCTAATATTATTCACATTTGTTTTCCAATCTCAGAAGCATGAAACACAAAGGGGTAAATAGCTTAAAATAAATAAAAAGTTGTGTAGTTTACATACAAATTACATGATCCAGGTCAAAATATATAGCAAAATAGAAATCTTCTCACTTTTACAAAGTAACCATTTGAAATCCTTTAAAGCATTATTCTCTTTAAACATTTTGAAACAAATTTGCCTTTTGATTGGAACTATGTGTTTCATTATAAAGATGGAACACGATGTTCTGGCTTACATATTCTCTGCAGAAGGAGGTCCTTTTTTGTACTGAATTTTTAGCATATAGTAAAGATCCAGATTGTAAAAAAAATTAATTTCAGGCATGACAGACTGGAAGTATATATTGAACAGATCTGGGAACAGAAATGATGCAAATGCCTTTCTCCCAGCTTCTGAAAATTATGTAATGGACCAGAATTTCAAGATAGACTTCTGTTTGAGTGAAGCATGGACTCTCAATCAGAGGACAGTACCAAAAATGGCTTTTGGAAAGCAAAGTATAAGGCAGTTTCCCACAAATGGTAGTTCGATGAGCATTGACTGTAGTGGTATCATTATGGCTAAGCATCAGGATATTCACACATATTGTAATTATTAGTGGTGGTAACAGAACTTGGATAGTAAATATTTATTGTGAATGAGCAAGAGCAGTAAAGGAAATTGACTCGTGAAAGGAAGAGGACCAGTGATGCGTTAAAAGCTAGAAATAAAAATCAATAAAATTGCTTTAATTTTCAGCATATTGCTATTATGTTTAAAGTATTATACACTTTGGTCAGTCACAATGATGATGGTAACATTTATACTGCCTATACATTGATTTTTATATTATTTAGTGTTTTCACCTCAAAGCAAACAAGAATACTGATAAATAAGCTGATAAAAATACTTGAAAGATTTGTCCCTTCCTGTCATTAAACTATTTAAAATATGGTAGTTGCAAAGAGTGCAACTGAATACTGCTAACCACTTGCTATTATGAAAATTTTACCATAATGTGTTTGATAAATGTCATTAAAAAAACTAATGAAAAATTAGTAATTCTAATACATGAAAAATTAGTTCATTTATACTTGCATACATATACCTAGAATTAGAAATCTTTCTAATAATACATAACAACTATCAATAGAACAGATGGATGGACTTTTAGAAAGGTTCTGTTAGCCATTCCACTTAAAAATTGTCTACAAATTCAAGTCAATGCAATGCAACTCAACAAATGTTTTATCAAGAGTCTGTTAATGTGCAATTTTTCCCACAAAATGTTTCTAGGGAGGGAAGGAATAGAAAAGAAACACATCCAAATTTTTTTTGTAAAAAGGACATGACAAATCACTCAAAAATACAAACAAAATGCTGTGGAAATATACAGGTGTCTTAAATGTCTGAAGCATCAGCAAAGACTTCATGGCAGGGCTGGCATCTGAGATGGTAATGTTAGGGCAAGAATTCAACGTGAAGAGCTATGAAGGGGGACTTCATTCAAGGATGAAAGCCAGTGCAAGCCTACTCTCATAAAATTACCTATAATACAACAGTAGAAAGCCATTAGCTTACTTTCCCTTAAGAAGGTAAAAGATCTATAAGAGACAGTAGTGATATTCAGTTATCCAAGCACTCAGAGACCCCAAGTAGCCAGGGCTTTTCTACAAGCAGCTTGTGCAAGATGGATTTTCAATCCTATCTCTATCTCTACTCTATCACCTATTATTTATTTATCTAGTCCTATTTTTCAATTATGATATATCTGTAAAATAGCCGCTACCTAATTTTATCAATGACGAAGTAGATACACACACACACACACACACACACACACAGACACACATACACACACTGTGTTTGCTGTTCTCAAAATATCACCCTGATGACATGACCACAGAATTTATAAACCTTCAAACCTCACTGTGTGAAATACTTTCGTAGAAATTTTTCAGAATGATCCTGCCCAAACCCATGTTTTTAAGATAATGTATAGGTGAAATTCTATGTCACATAGACTCCTGATTTTAAATTCTCATTAGGATAAGATTTGTGTTACGAAAAAAAAATACAAAAAAAAGATAAATGAGCAGAAATGTGACATATTAATAAAACAGAGAGAAAAAGAGAAAATGTGTGTAATTAGCTTAATTGCTTTTGTGATGTATTCAAATCAAAATATTTTCAATATTTTAATCACAAAATATATTTTTAATATTTAAAATTATGGCTAATGCCTTAAATTCCTATTGTTTCATCATCTCCAGTAAATTTTCCTGAATATTTTTTCACTAATTATATTTTTTATTTCTCTAATGTGTTTTAAGTAGATCCAAGCTGAGATCTTTATTTCAATGTAAAAACTTTAACATATATATATATATGTTTTTTTAAAACACTCTTTTTGCTCTTAGAATTTTCTTTTTTATGAAATGGAATAGTAAATGGCCATATACTATTTAATGGCGATAGAAGTGCCTACCTGTTCTGGAATCACTTTCTCCTTCTCTACTTATGGTATACTATTCTGTTACTTCCTTTTCCTAATAATACTTCTTTATATCCTCATATCTCAATGTCTGTTTATATGCTCCCTCCTCCAAGAAGTCTTTCAAAATAAAATGAAATATAATAATAATTATATATTTCTTACTGTTTTTACATGGCTGGCACTGAGCTAAATGTTTTGCATCTATTGTCTCCTTCAATATTCTCAGAAACCCTCTAAGGAAATATTGTCAACCCATTTGATAAGGAATCAAGGGTCAACACGGTTCAAGTGACATCCAGGTCTGTCAGATTCCAAAAAGCAGCTTGCTCTTCGTGTGTGTGTGTGTGTGTGTGTGTGTGTGTGTGTGTGTGTGTGTTTTAATCTCATCCTTTTCCAGATGATTGTATGCAAATATATATGCATGAATTTGTGTGTGCAAATACATATACATACATATGTATGTATGAATATGTATATATGTGCAAATACGTATACATGGATGTGTTTGTGTGTGTATTCCTACTGATTTTTGTTGAAGATTACAGCCAGTCTTTTTATGTGTGCCTGCAGATTGGATCATAAAGCAGTTAAATGAAATGATAGAGTCTTATTCAGTCTTTATCCAGTCTTCATAGAGTCTTCTCATTTTTATTATTTAATGCAGTAACTGCCAGATAATAGTCACTCAATAAATTATTATTGATTGAATATCAAAAACATCTCTCAATTTACCTAGAGAACTGTCTGAATAGAGTAATAAACTCCTTACATTCTTATATTTTCATTCATTATTGCCCACACAGGTGCTTTTCACTAGGAATAATATTTTCTATTCATTTAATTTTCCCCATTTTTAAGCACGTTTTAAGGAAATTTGCCTATTACTCAGAATAATATATTCTAAAAATGTCAAATTTGATTTTGCATAGCAAAAATGATTACAGATTAAAAATTTTTATCACAAATCACCTTTCATAATAGGAAAAGTAAGAAATAATTTTTTTTGAGGGATCTTCTTTTTCAGTTGATACTAATTAGATTTTTTTAAACCAAGTTTAAAGCTCACACTGTTCTGGCTTGAACAGTGCCAAGTGATAATCCAATGTGACATACATTTCCTATAGCAATAACATTTTGGCAGATAAATTCCCCAATGAGAAACAACCATTTCTATGCTTAGATGAATTTTGTGATAGAACGCAAATGAAAAAAAAAAAGTAACAGAATTTTCAGAAAATACTCCACAGTATAATGAATCCCCTTTCCATATTTACAGAAAGTGCCTCAATCCATAGAGGGTAAAAACATTGAATATCTAATAAACAATACATCATAGATTCCTCATTGTCCTTGGAATGTTGATCGAATAACTGATTATTATTTACACTAAAATTCATTCCTAGAAATCTTGTATCCTTTCCCTTCATTATGCAATGCTGTCTTGGACCTGGGAGTCTAGAAATGTGGAAATTATAACACTTTGACACACCATGTAAATGAGGTATCGCAGTAACATGCTATTTAAATAAAGTTTGGAACAAACATTCAGTAGGGAAGTTTGGAAAACTTATAACAAGATTACCTCATACTTTTTTTTTATAAGAGTATTCTTGTATTTCCCCCAGCCATCTTTTAATTCCAACAAGAAGGTACAGTGTGCCAATTTAGCTCTCTGGCAGCAAAGCTGCACATTGTATTATTGTGGCAATTAGTCAGGAGCTGAGCTTGTCGTTTGAGCCTCTCCTCCTTTCCTTTATGTAGATAATATTTGACTTGGAGGGTCTCTGTCTCTCTGATGGAAATACCTGAATTAGATATTATCAGTCTCAATCAACAAGACACTTTCCATCATCAGTTCTGGAATTGAGGCTAACATGGGACAGGTAATAGAAGTTTCCAGATTAGCCTATGTGCTTTATTCATTTTTTACATGTTATTTTCATGATTAGTTGCAAGACCTAGACAACTGGATGCCTGTGGAAAGCTTTAGGAGAGATTCAATTTTGAAGTTTCTTTTTAAAATGTAATAAGTGTATTTTTAAAATATCATGGCTGTAGCAGCACAAATGACTAGCCATAGTTAGAGATGCCACCTGTGGCCATACAAAAAAGAATAAAATGAAAATATCTCATTTTTGGAACATAAGCCCATATCTTTAGAACTGTTCTGTTTTTAGGGGCATTTATTTGCTAATGAGCTGGAGACCAAAAAATGTATATATTTAGAAATAAAATGATGTAAGCCTAAGGAAATTAAAAATTCAGATTTCCTTGTGCAAATCTCAGTCAGACAGGCTGCATACACCCCCAAATATTTATTTGTTAAAATTAAAATATTTCTTTACTTTTCTAGAATTCAAGAGCTGCTAACTTGAGGTGGCTTAGAAATCTCATCTGGTGTCTGTCTTGTGTCTGTTTGGCAGCACCTGAAATCTACACTTCCTAAATTTTCTGTAGTTTTTGAATTCCAATCAGAGACCCCGGCCTTTCTTTTCAGTTTTTTCCTTTTACATCTTCTTCTGAATGTCATATCATAAATAAGCATTTAATATGAAACTTCTTTCTGTAAACAAATTAGATAAGTTCCAACAGGCTGAAAACCAGAGAGAGCAAAGAACTATCCACGGAAGAATCTGGCAAGGGAGGCCCAGACAGTCCCTCTCTCAGAAAAGCCAATGCATCTCCTCAGAAACTATTTCAGTCACCATGTGTTCTCTAAATAGCCTTCTGAAGAATTTCCCAAGGAGATTTCTTCCCAGGGCACTTAAGAAGGTTCCTTCCATTAGGGTGCGTTTTTGGGAAGAAGTGGATGAAAGAGACCATTAGGTCAGCTTACTAAAGATAGCTTGCCATATACTTTAATCCTGACGGGGGAAAAAAGACCAAAAACATTGTAATGAAATAGCAGAATGCTTTCTGAGTAACAGTATAAGGTTTTCAAATTCAAGTCTGGCTATCCCAATGCCAAAACATATGTACATTGGAGTATGGAAAGCCATAGCTTATAAATAATCTATCTTCTAATGTTTTCATTCCTGAAACTATTTCCCAAAATAGTGCGCTATCTCTTTTAAAACTGTGGCCTTTCTTATTTACATGACTAGAGGAGTAAAAGCCAAATTATCATTTCACATCTCTTAGGCATCTTCAATGAAGAAAGCCACTTGTCAGTTTTATTTGCCCAAGTACTTTAAATTGATGAATCGTTTTTAAAGAAAAGCAATATAATTTAATTCTACTTTTCATTTGTGCTTTTTGCTCGTTTCCAGCAGAGCTAGCTGAGAGAAAACTGAAGGGGACTAATTTAAAATCAGGGTGGATAGGATAAGAGATTGTACTTTCTTAATGGAGAGTTTACCAAAAACACATTTTAATTTTTTATATTTATGATATACTTAGCACTGTAGACTTAATTGTACTGGTTGTTTGCTTTGCTGAAATATATTATAAGTTTATATATATTTAAATAAAAACACTTCCACTTGGTAATATCCACTAAACCTACTTTTTAGCTATAAATCCTTTAATTTTTATTTTGCTTTTATTATATCTATGGTCAAAGAGATAACAATAGATGCCTCAGTTTTTTTTCTTTTCTTGTGTGTACACGTGTTCAAGAAATTTTAAATACTTTTATATTAAGCAATTGCCACTTTCAAATATGGAAATATATCCCTTGTAGTTCTATCTGTTGATTTCTAAACATACATAAACATAGCTACTGCACATTGGCCACATTTTTATGACAGATTTTTTAATTATAACTTATTCTCTTAGGCCAACAAATGGTCATAATTTTAAGATATTGTGAGAGGAAAAATCATCTCTTTCTCCACACACATCCATAACAAATACTGGCTCATTTCTGGTTCTGTTTTGTGGTAGCTTGCATGTAAAGAAAACTCAAAAGAAAGCAATTCCTAGATTTTTATCCATTGACTGAATGTTATAGGTTTTGTGAAAGTACTTACATATTATTTAATAATTTCATCTGATTTGTAGTTCTTGATTTTTAAATGAGAAATTCTGAATAGATTTTCTTCTCATAATCTCTTGTCTGTGTATACAAGGATGCCATTTTATTATAAATTACATCTATTTTATTAAATCATTTTTTATTTTTCATGAAAATATCACACCCTTAAACCATGTTGAGTGAATTCTAACATTTTTCCATGAAGATCAGGAAAACCTACCATTGAAAGGCACATGTTAGACTTTCTTGATTTTAACAGCTCAGAAAAAGGTATTCTGTAAGTATTCCTTGAAATTGGATGAATATTAGATTACCTATGAATTTTTTTCTTTTGATAGGTTTTAATTAATGAAACCACTATCATTTCAGCCTCCACTATAAGCTAATATTGTAAAAGAGAGAATTAATTAAGATACAAGACCTTTAGAGATCCTAAGTTTTACAAATTCCACCTTAAGATAATCAGATAACAGATTTTTAATAGCTGCTATCAGTCTATATTTATCGCAGTTCATTGTAAAAAAGATTAGACATTATAAATCAGAAAGTCTTAATGATTACTACATTGTGCTTTACTATTAAATCAAATATGTGAATAAAAATCTTGTAACTTTAGTCTTAAGTCTGCACAAAACAAAACAAAAATCAGTGGAACTAGCTGATTTTCAAGTAAATGCAGTCAGTTGAAAATCAGTTTAACAAACATAATTAAAATGACTAACTGGGGAAATACACCAACTATGACAAGCAAAGAGTTAAAATCCTTGTAACATGAAGAACTCATAGATTAATATCAAAAATACTAACACCTTGGTAAAGCAAACAGAGGTAACTTGAAAAAGAGTATCGCACATACTAGTTGTGTGTACACGTGGGTTGTGTGTGAATATAAAAGCATAAACAAGAAGAATATGCAGAACAGAAATACTCTCTGGGGAGAAAGAGAAAGGAAAATACAAGGCATTTTAAGATAGCTATAACATTCTATCACAAAAGCAAATCAGTCAATAAATGAAGTTAATATTGTGAAATTGCCAGTATTTGTCAAATTTTTCTGATAAGTTCAGAAGGACATATTTTCTGTGCTTTTGTTCCACATGTTTAAAATAATTTGTAATTTGAAAATAATCCTCAAAGAATTTACAAAAGAAATGTTTAAAAAGACCAATAAAAAATAAAATAACCATTAAGAAGTTTATCACACTAAAATAATTGAAAATATAATAAAAAGAATGATAAAAATTGGCAAAAAGCTATCAGAGATCTTTTAAATGCAGGATACTCAATGTTAGCATGGGTAGGATGACGAAGTCACATTCATACAATGCTGTGGGAGTGTAAATTGGCATAACCTTTATGAAAATCCATTTGGCAGTAGGTATAAAGAGCATGAAAATGTTCAGCTCATTTTGATCTAGTAATTCCTTTTCTGGGAATCTAGCCTACAGACAAAAGACAAATGTGAATAAAAAATATATAGGCACAAATAGTCTGACCATTTATTCATCTCCTTAATGAATATTTATTTATAGAGCCTTACTGTGTGGCTGATATTTTATTAGCCACTAAGTCTACAACAGGCATGGAGACAGATAAATTCCCCATAGATTTTGCCCACTTAAGCATTTTTTTGTAAGAAGAAATTGAACACAGATTATCCAACAACAGGGAATATGTATATTTATATATATATACATATACAGCATATCTCATATAATTAAATGATTATAACTTTATTGTATAAATTAGGGTGTACAATATGGTATTTTGATACATATATACATAGTGAAATAGCAAACTATCACATTTATTGAGGAACTACTATGTGCCAGGACCTATTTTAATCATGATTACATGTATCATCCCATTTAATTCTCACCACAATCCCATGAGGTAGTGTATTAACTTCCTATATTCATCCCATTTAATTCTCACCACAATCCCATGAGGTAGTGTATTAACTTCCTATTTCTGTTGTAACAAATTATTATACCCTTAGTGGTTTAATTAAGCAAAAGTTTCTTCTCTTACCAGTTTTGGAGGTCAAAAATCCAAAATGGGTCTCACTAGGCTAAACTCAAGGTGTTGGCAGGGCTGTGTTCCTTCTGGAGGTTCTAGGAAATAATCCATTTTCTTCCCCTTGTCAGCTTCTTTCTAACTGGCATTCTTCAGCCTGTGGCCCCGTTGCTCCATCTTCAAAGCTATTAAGGTTATGTTGAGTTCTCACACTGCCATATCTCTTGCTCTCTCTCTCCTGCCTCTTCCACTTTTAAGAACCCTTTTAATTACACTGGGACCACCAGAATAATCCAGGATAAACTCCCTTTCTCAAGGTAAATTGATCAGCAACCTTAATTATACCTTCAATCTGAATGCTCCTTTACAATAAAGCCTAACATATTATGGGAATTAAGATATGGACATCGTTGGAAGACCATATTCTAGCTATTACAGGTAGGTACTAGTTTTATCCTCATTTTACATAAAATAAACAGAGAGAAGAGGTGTTTGTTATTTTGTCCAAAGGTCATACATATACTTAGTGACGAATCTGGTATTTAAATCTAGCTAAGGCCGGGTGCGGTGGCTCACACCTGTAATCCCAGCACTTTGGGAGGCCGAGGTGGGCGGATCACGAGGTCAGGAGATCGAGACCATCCTGGTTAACACAGTGAAACCCCAGTCTCTACTAAAAATACAAAAAATTAGCTGGGCTTGGTGGTGGGCACCTGTAGTCCCAGCTACTCAGGCGGCTGAGGCAGGAGAATGGCGTGGACCCGGGAGGCAGAGCTTGCAGTGAGCCGAGATCGCGCCACTGCATTCCAGCCTGGGCAACACAGCGAGACTCCGTCTCAAAAAAAAAAAAATCTAGCTGACCAATCCAAAATGTGGGCTTTTAATCACTGTGTTGCAGTACTTCATAAGCAAATCGCTAATGCTAAATCTTCTATAACAAAATAGAAAAGTTTTCAGAGAATAAAAGGTGAGAATCTGCTAAGACGTTAATGCCATTTACATCTTGGTAATAAGCTCATGAGCAGTTTTTATTCTGCTATATTATATGTTTGTTTGTAATTGCCACGTTTTCTTTAATGAATGTGGTTAAGAATTGTTCTATCATCAACTTGATTAAGCTGGGAACTGTTTCCTAAAAGCAACTTCCATGTCTGTATGTAGGTTCTAGCTGACCAAAAGTTATATTGCAAATATTCTGGAAGATGGAAGCAAAGCACAACCATTACCCTCTAATGGTCATCATCAGTCAGGCTGTGGGAGACAGATGCAGCTCTGCAGGTGATTTCAAACAGTTAGGCTGTAGTTCGCTGTGCTGCAAAGTCACAGAGACACTAGCCATGAAAAGCCAATAACCTTCCATATATTTCTATACCTGTCTCCCTTTGTTGCCCCTGTTCTGCAGCTGTATGTGCATAGCTTCCAAATTTCCATGTAAGAACTGACTCATCCATCTGTGTCAGGACTGGCTAGTTAACTTTTCTCTAGTATCGCTACTCCCTTTTTTTGGACTTTTACATCCCTAGCTTCTCTCACAATTGTGTAAGTTCAAATTCTTATAATAAATTTCTTTTTCCTGCCATGCACAGTGTTTCTGTATTTCTGATTGAATCCCAACTGATACAGTTATTGGAACCAGAACTCAGTTGCTTCTGCAATAAAAAGCCGCAGGAAAGAAGGTTCAAGTTAAGTATTGGCAGAAATATCAGCTTTATCTGTGGTAATGTGGAAAATAGAAAGTGTACCCAAGAAAACTCATTGATCTGGCTGGGTAAATAGTATGTTGACAGTACTAACTGATTTATTCTAAACATATGTGATAAAATATGAGAAAACAGAGATAAACTTATGAAGGAAGTGTTTAGCTGTTTGGCAGAACTTAGGTATTAAATGGTCAAGGACAGTTGTTCCACTGAGATTTAGGCTGTTAAATGAAGAAATGGCCTCAGAGTAATGATCAAATTCAGGAACCTTCTAGTAAAACATCATCTCAGTTTAAAAGTGGAGTCAAATGCAGTTTTAACTGTGTATTGGGACTACAGATAGACTTAATGTCATGCCTTGTAGACAGAAAAACAAAGCTTGTTAACTTGCCCTTTAGACCTTCTCTGCTAGAGGGTGTCTCTGGATTTTAAGGGTGTTATACCACAGCACCCTAAGCCTCAGGTCGAGATAGAGAATGAACTGTTGTAAAGACATCTGTGTGTATGCTTTTGCCTAATCATGTAACCATCAATAATATTCTGAGAAACCCACAATGTTTTTAAGACATTTGCATTGGTAGAAGCACTAACAAATTGCATTAAATAAGAGAGGATCAGTTCAAAGCAAAAATATCATAGGCTTTCAAATTTCTATGGGAAGAAAGCAGGCTGAGACAGTTAATCACCTACAAACATGAGCCATTCTCTGTAGAAAAGGAAGAAAGTCTCAGAGTGCAGAGCCGCCTGGCTGGAGAGTGGAGTTAAGAACCACAGGGAACCACTCCCAGGGAGCACAGCTGGGCCCTAATCAAGGAACTGGAATTGTTGCACTGGCTGGATCAGAACTGCTATGAACTAGTAAGTACTACTCATTCCTCATTCCTCCTTTTTAAATGGAAACGTTCACTGTAGTTATCCTGATACCACACCTACCCCAAGACCATCTTGCTGCAAGGAAGCCCAATGTCTACATGGACAGGCTGAGTGGAAAGACAGAGGTGACACAGAAACCCAGCTGGGCCGGGCTCCCAGCCCACGTGCCAGTGTCTGTTGCACCAATATGGAGAACAACCAAGGAATTCAACTGACAGGGACAACCAAGGACTCCTGAAAACCCTCATCCCAGTCAGCTCCAGCTGTTTGCATCACCCCAGCTGAGGTGCCAGCATCATGTGGAAGAGATGACCTATATTTGCAGTGCCCTGTCTGAATTTATGACCCACCAAATCAGGAATACAATAAAATGGTTGTTGCTTTATTCCACCAAGTTTTGGGATGGAATCAACACATAGCTGAAACAATATGCAGTCTGTACTTTTAAAAAATATGTACTTATTTTATAAAGAAATTTTAAAAATGGATGGATAATGTCCCTTTTTTCCATTTGCTAGTTTGGCAATTTAAAATTTAAAACTTAGAGGAGTAAACACCTGAATGTTCTGAATCAAAAGGTGGTAATTCATCTAGAATTCAATGCCATTACCCAATAAGCATTTCTGTGTGGCTTCAAGCTGGAAGTTGCCTTCCCTTCCTCTTTCTTCCCATAACTCTTAATTTAATGTACCATTCATCTGGCATTCCCCATAAACTGCTTGGTTAATAGGTATTAGTGATTTCATATTACATTGTAATGATCAATGCAATGTGCTGCAGAAGATTAAAAAATATATAAGGTATTATTTATGTCCTCAAAGAACTCAAAGTCTTACAAACTACTCTGATGACTTGTATAAATAAATATACTATTGTTATATATGATTGACAAAATTCTATTCCATAAGGAAAATTCAGAGTATTACAAGGGTTCAAAGGAGAGAGTTTATTTGCTACAAGTTATAACAAATAGTGTATGTAGGAGATATAGCTGAGATGAAACTAGGATTATATTGGTTTTGGGTCCAAAGTAGACTTCAAAATCCTCAAGAACAGAATACCATGATCTTCATGTCTGAATTCCTCAAGCACCTATCAAAGAGTTTTGAAAATTATAGCAGCTCAATAATTGTTTGTTGAACAAATTATTGGATGGATTTCCAATTTCTGTGTATTGTATTGTTGGAAAAGAATCACTTGATTATCGTTTGTTCTAGGATAATAATTTGACAGTGTCCTTTTTACTACCAATTTATGTGGGATGCAGACAAGCTTACATATAAAGCCATCATGACAGTTTTAGATAAGGCAACTCGAAAAGCATAAATTACTATTAGACGAAAAAAAGAGGATAATATTCACTAATATTTCTCATGCAGCAATGATTTTGCCATGTTTGCCTGGAGTAACAAGGGCAAATGGCTTCAACATGAAAGTCCATGCAGTTTGTTCAAGATATTTTGACAGATTCTATGTTATCTCCTGATGTTATGATTTGTAATGTTTATAAGCATCATCTTATGACCTGATTGAAATAAATGAGAGCAAAGTAAAGAGATAAAAAAATCTAATTCAGGATAGAGCTGTAAAAACAAAAGATTAGAATAAGGTCCTTTCTGTCACTGAGATAAATTGTTATACCCTTTTATGTTTTACATCATGGACTTCTAACACATTCACAACTTGTATGTGTCATATGGGCATGAGCTATTTCTCATCCTCCCACTCATACTTCCTTCCTAATAGCAAGTTGTTCCAAAATATCTTGTCAGCAAGCGTTTGCTGCTGCTTGAAGACAAACTTGATTCTGAAACCCTTTGCTCTTTGTGAAAGAAAGAAAAATAATCTTGTTTTATTTCCAGTGTTAGAATATAAATCAGTATCATAGCTAATTTCAGAATTTTATGAGTGTTTAAATTAAATACATATAAAACACAATGCCTATTCTTGAAAAGATTTAAAGTATAGAATAGATGTTATATACATATAAAATACGTCAAGTTTTGGTTTTCTTGATTTTTCTATATCCTTTTTTCTTAAAATCTATGTATGTATTCCTACTGAAGCAAAAAATATTAAGAATTATAATTTTTTTCACCAAACTTTTGAGAAAAATTTCAATTAATATAGTTAATATAGCCACATGTATTTAAATAATAGATTGATTAAAAGGAAAATAAAAGAAATTTACCAATTCCAGTCCCAACAGCCTTGAAAATTACAAAAAAGCTTGTGATAAAACTTCAGCCTAGAAACTGCACATTTCTTATCCTGGCCACTGTGTAGGCTTCAGATAAATCCATAACCCTCAAACTTCTGAAGTAGAGACAACATCACTCCCAAGTCAGCACTCACTGTCTACAGTTGAAGTTTGACCCCAGTGTCTAGCTCAGAAACATGACCAAGAAGTAAGTGGTGGGGCTAGAACCAAAAAACCTCCACCATAGTGCTGACTGACTCCCATAGTCTACAATTGTAATACTGGAACTGGAAGTTCCAATACAAGGGCATCAACTAACTGGGAATAGGACAACTTTTTGTGGTATTTATAAAATATCTCTGGTCCACAAAGAAATGGTAATCAGGGGGCAGAAAAGATATTCATTTATTCATGCATTTGTATATACACACATGTTCATGACCTCAATATAATGTTGCATTCTTGGTGAAAATGTAAAGTGGTAAAACCATTATGGAAAATAGCATGAAAATTCCTCAAAAAACTAAAAATAGAGAGACTTTATAATCCAACAATCCCACTTCTGCATACATATCCAAAAAAATGAAATCAGGATCTCAAAGAGATACTGTAATTCCATGTTTAGTGCAGCATTTTTCATAAAACCAAGATATGGAAACAACTCTCATGTCTATAAACAAATGAATGCATAAAGTAAAATGTGGAATATATATTCAATGGAATATTGTTTGGCCTTACAAAAACAAAAGGAAATCTTAACATTTGCAACAACATGGATAAACCTGGAAGATACTAAGCTAATTAAAATAAGTCAGTGTCATAAACACAAATACTCTACTATTCTACTTATATGAGATATCTAAAATAGTCCAACACATGGAGAACAGAATAGTGGTTTCTAAGGGACTTGGAGGAACAGAAATGGGGAATTGTTGGTCAATGGTTATAAAATTTCAGTTATGAAAGGCAAATATGTTCTATAGGTCTGCTGTACAACGTAGTGCCTATAGTTAACAACAGGATATGATACACTTAAAAATTTGTTACAAAGGTGGATTTCATATTAAATGTTCTTACAACAAAAGGAGTGGGATGCATAAGGAAACTTGGAAGTGTTGAATATGTTTATTATCTTGATTGCAGTGATAGTATCACAGGTACATAAATATGTCCCAACTCATCAAACATGCATTAGGCATATGCAATTCCTTTGTATAAAAATTAGACTTTTCTTTTTTTAAAAAAAAAAAAGACCAGGGAGATTGAAATAGTGGCATTACAGAAATGTAATGGTGAGGTACTTAAAGTAGAAAGGACTAAAGAAACCATGTTCGGGTATAAGCATTTCATAGTTAGATAAAAAGCAAAAATAAATAAACTTTCATAGTTCTTGTATTGAGTAATATGTTCAACATTTCAGATATTTACCTCATCACTGAGCTTCAGTTCTTCCTTGAAGTTAACTCCATTATTAACCTTCAACAATTTCTTAAGGCTTGAACTAATTCTGACACTCATTATGTCTTTGATCTCCACCCCATCTCTGAGATTTAATTCTTAGGCTCTGTCCCATTCATCGCATTTGCCTTATCCCACTCCCAAATGACCACTAGCTAAAATTTCACTCTTACTCCAAGGAGAAGGTAAATGTTAGGTACAGAGCAAACTGTGGTATTAGAGGTTGGAAGTGAATGTCAGCAACAAGCTCATACCTGGAGATGAGGTAAAATAATAACAAAGGAGATAAAGGTTACACACATCAATTTTTGTAAAAACAATCATGTTTATATTATAAACTTAATTTATTTTAGAAATATAGAGCATATATAGGCATAGATGTATTTACAGATCCAAATCAGGAAGTATGTCATTCATGGGAATCTAGAGGGTGATTCATAACATTACACATATCTGGCTATTGGGTCTCTGGGGCATAGGTGGCAAGTGAAACCATAAGGCAAATGAGGAACATAAGAGACTCAGAAATGGAGGGAAGAGTATAGAATTGTCAATAAGAAGAAAAAAGGTGCACTGTCTAGTCCTCTTTTCCTATAAGTTTAGTGAAGAGTTGTGAAGAAAATGATTAAATCAAGACATAGAACGAAGTTCCTATAAAGGCATATTAATTGAAAAGTGTTTGATGGCATAGAAAAATGAATTCACAAGATCAGGGGAAAGGGTGAGAGCAAAGGAGCAGTCAAGACTGAAGTGTGTCTAAGGAATTAGAAGTAGTTGGATTGAAATTCACATGTCAGAGAGTAAAGTACAGAACATTTGACTTTCACTTTTGATAGTCACTGGAATAAAACATTGATGGATGCTGGAGTTGGGAAATAAACTAGAAGGCCATGGTAAAACAGGAACAGGATATGCAGACTTTGCTGTTGACAGAATTTGCAGCTTTTTGAAACCACAAAGGCCTGACTGGGGACTGGGATGTTGCTGTGATCTTGTAAACATGCTTCCTCTGCTTGGTTCTGTTGCTGATAACAGCTTCACGTTAGAAAACCGGGTTTTGGAGGACTGTCCCTCAGCACATTTACCTTCTACATGCTCAGCTCTTCAATGAAAACAGAGCATGTTAGGTAAAAGAGGCCCCAGTCCTCCTTCTTCCAGGAATTATGTTGAAGTTACTAGGCAATGTGAAGCTACATAAATTGGCAGTTTATTGGTGAAGTGATGATTTGCAAACTACAGCTTTATATAAAGTTGTAGAAACCAGGGCCTAAAATTATCAGGATAATATTGCACAACTGCTGACTCAAGAAAGCCTCAACTGTTTCCTTCCACTAAATAGAAAAGGCAGCATCTAGTTTTCATCCTTAAACCAAAACACACATTGTAGGAATGCCTTCTATCCTGATAATTTCACTCCTGTTTTGTGTTAGAACTTCACATATGGTATGATCTACAGTACTAGATAGGAAGGGGAGAAGCTTCACATCCCTAAGTCACTAAATTATCTAATCACTACATGTTGCAGTGACATCAGTAATGGGATGGTCCCCATAGCCCTTTGAGAGTTAACATGATCAGATTTGCCTGTTAAAAGATGATTTTCACACTATATGGAGGGTGGATTGGTAGGGTCTGTGGGAAGAGCAGATGAGATAAATCAGGAAACCACTGTCAAAATCTAGTGAGAACTGATGGTCTATAAGGAGAAAGAATATGTTTAGGGGGATTAAAGTTTGATGACTAATAGGATATGGGAGAAGGAATTAAGTAGAGAGAGGAAGGTAACTGGGATGAAAGCAAGATTTCTGGTTTGGGTGAAGGTGTCCTTTCTGAGATAGAGAACATAAGAAAGTGAGTGTGTATGACAGAAAAACTCTGGTATTCACTTTGGGGAATGTTGATTTTGGATATTCAACTTTAGACATGTTGAAGATTTCCAGCAGGCAGAAAGATATATAGTTTTGAAGATACATATATGTAACAGCTCAGTGTGTACATAGTTGGTGAGGTGGTAGATCACCCAGGGAAAAGATAGAGAAGAGACCCAGAAAACATACTTTAATTTTAACCTATTTGAAATTCAAAACTTTAGTTAAACAAGGAGCCATAGACTAAGGATTATTTTTTACTTTTATACATAAAACCTTATTTGCCAAAAAAAAGCATTATATGAAAATGATTGGCACTTAATGGATTAGATCCCTTATAGTTGTTTGTGCTTTTAAATGCACTTACCAAAGAAAGAGGAGCAATATAACCCTGGGTGTATATGTGTGTGTGCATATGCAAGCCAGAGAGTGCAACAACAAAACATACTGTATACATATGGGTATTTGTATAGATAAATTTTTTTTGAATAAATGCATATAAGGAAACACTAAAAATTTGTTCTTAAGGGCTAAGAGGAACAGTAGTTTTGGGGGGATGAGGAAGGAAATGTTTGTTAAGTGGGGATGATTACTTTGCTTATAGTTCTGCTTCCAGTCAGTGTGAAGTTAAACTTAAAAGCCACCCAAGGAATCCCTATTTAACTAATATAGAGGTTAGAGAGCATGCTTGTCCAGAGAAAGATCTCACCAGCAAATAACCCTTACATAATTTAATTGCAAATTATAGTTCATATTCATATTTATATGTGTGCTTTCATGTGTATGTGTGTATGCACACACATTTTACATGCACACACAAATATACACACAATTTTTTAGCTGGTGGAATGAAAATAATTTACAAGAGCTTAATGATTATAGTGAAACACTTAAACAACAATAATCAAAAACTAAAATGAATTATGGTAAAACAACTTAAAATTTGGTGTGTTTCTCCAGCAATGAGTTTTCAAAAATTTGATTAATTATGCATGATATGTTTAATGCATCCATTCTTGAAAAATTTGATAATAGCATTAAAAAGGACATTGAAAAAACTGACATTTCCTGTTCTCTATATTTGTATCTGTAGTACTTATATATTAATGATATTTACACTAAATTTCTAAATAAGTATAGTTATTTTTACATCCTTTTCCTAAGCCCAGATCATTTATTGAATTTTATGCTTAAGGTTGCCTAAAAACTATTTATAGTTCTTTAAAAAGTTGACTTTTCTAGTGCCAACAAATTGAGTATTTAAATAATGTAAGTGATTTAGGGGTCCTGTAAATGGCACCCATTTTTGTCCCCTTACTTCCGAGTTTGTAACTGATTGAGGACTGACAAGTGGAGCTCAAAATTTTAACTTCGTTTCTGACAAACTTTACTGGAGAGAATGGCTTTTTATGTGTGACCAAAAGATTCACCTATTAATCTCCTAAATTAATCAGATTTGAATGGATAACAACTAATACCTCCATTGGAATACAGGCTGCTCTCATGGGCTTAACCATAATGTGGAGAGCGAGAAAGAACACATGCATCTCGCAGGCAGACTGACTCTGAAAAAGGCCAACAAGGCCTACGTCAAGCACACCAAGCTTTTTCTTTCAAACTTATCACTCAGGTAAGTCGCTCTACTTCCAACTGAGAGAGGAGAAGAGAGCAAGTAGAGAAATGGAAGGCAGGCCTCTTACACTTTTCCTTCCTGGGGAAGTGAAGCAGAAATTGGCTTTCCTCCACTAAAACATGGGCAATGTTGTCCTGCATCCCTACTTCATAGGTAATAAGTAATAGTATACATCCATCACTTCCAGCATATATAAAATCCCTGTATTATGCCCGATGATAGAAATCAGTGAAATTTTAAGGAGAATCAGGTTAATTCTATAGCTATAAAGATGTTCAATTTGTTTCTTTCTTTTCATTGCCCTAGAGAAATAAATTTCTGACTTAAAGAAATGAGTGATTCTTATCTAGTCTAAGAGAACCAGAAGTATATTTATGTGTTTCTTTATAGTTCTTATTATACTTTATAATCCCGTTAAGTATTTTAATGAGCATATTTAGTTTACCAATTTTTATTTTTCATACGCCTATGATATTTGTTGCACTTGTAGAATGTTCTCTTTGTACCTTCTCTTCCCTGATTATTCTTTTTAAAAAGTCACTACAACCTTAAATGCCTCTTTATAAGGTCTTCATGAAACAAAGTTGACACACTGATTTTTTTTTTCTGTCTGCACAAGGGTGAAAGATGGAGGTGTGTTAAGAAGGCAAGTAGGATGCTACTTGAAACCCAGAAACAAGTCTACCAAAACAGCTTGGGTAGGAAGACAGTTAACTTTGAAGTAATGATCAAAATTTTTCCTTATAAACAATCTGTATACTTAAAGATACCTAAAGATAAGCAATATGATAATATTTACCTTGATTTCTGAAGATTTGTTCTAATTAGTAAGTCAAAAGTAGACATTGTACTATATAAAATGTCTAACAGTTCATGCTTCCTACTAATGTTACTGGATTTAATACTATTACTATTATGTGGCACTTGAAACTCTACCCCAGAGAAAAGGAAAATGCCATGAAAAACTTAGTTTTGTGATTGAATTGCATAATTAACATATAAATTTATGATGCTAAAAAGGCAATATTGTTATGGATCAGTGCATTGGCCTTATTAACATTTCTGTTTGAATTAAAATCTTTCATAAGATTGCTTTAGCTTTTTTATTACTACAGTTAATACAAAAAACTTAAGAAGGCTCAGTGATAGTCACATGCCTTCAGATTTCATAACAGTGGAGATAATATCTGGTCAGTTTTGTTCACCGATGTGTCCTTTATGCTGAACACACAGTAGGAGTTCAAGAAAGTTCTGCTGACTTTATGAATAGATTAAGAAACTGGAGACTCCTGATAATATGAAAAGTGCCAGCCTCAATCTTCTTGCAAGGATGCATTAATTTGTAATGGGGTTGAAAAATCCTAATCTTTACACAGAAAAAGGAGGGAAACATATAGTTCTCTTATAATTATATTATGGTCTAAAGATGCCAGATTTTTACGAAGCATTTTAAAAGGTTTTTTTTTTTCTAAACAGAATAAATTTGGCTTTAACATTTGAAAAGGTGTCTTAGAAAGTTCTTACTATGTATTTTTAGGAAGTATTTTAAATAAATTAAGGAGTATGGTGATAACTCTTTCTAGCATGGAAGAAATGAACTTTCTTGTGGGAAACAGAGACATTTTTCATCTGTAATTTCTCTAGATTGCCATTGAGCAATAAGAGATAATGAACAAGAAAGGCAATATTGGCTTCTTCAGGCCCCGGGTTTAGGATAAGATAAAATGATTATTTAACATAAATTGGGAGATGTCTTACCTTTTAAGATTGAAAAGATGTTGTAAATATAACCATAATGACCCTGGGGTAATTTGCAAGTTAAGGCAATTCAGGAAATGGGACAAATTATGTAGCAAAACAGTGAGAAATTAGATTCAAATCTCAGTTTATTTGGTTTTGAGCCATTCAATTTCATGAAGTGATTTAATCTCTCTGTATCTTAGTTACAGCATTTATAAAATGAGAATGACAATATCTATTTCATAAGGGCTATTGTGAGAATTAAATAAAATAACTTAAATAAGGGAGTAGTACAATGCCTGGCATCTATCAGTATCGGCACCCCTTTTTTTTCCGTCAGAAATGTGGAGAAATTTTGAAACAAACCAGCTTAGAATCTCCAGCTAGGAAAGCCCTTGAAGTAACATGAAGCCATGCGTCTACTGGGTTGTGTTTAGAAAGAGTGAGAGACACAAAATCACCCACCAGCCCAGTTGAGTTATCTCTAGCCAAACCTCACAGTGAGGGTTTCACTAGTGTGGGACAGTTACAAAAAAAACCAACATTGGAGATGTCTGCCAAGTGAGGAGGTATTGAAGTGGTGGCAAAATAACTTGAATATTGCTGGGCACTATTGGATCACCTTAAGTGAGCGGAATGCCTCAGTGCCTGCTGTCCTTTTTGGAGAGAGGAATATTCAAAGTTCTCTGTGGATGTTGTTGTTTTCCTGAATAAAAAGGTAGTAACAGCCTTGAGAGATAGTGGTATAGGAGAGAACCCCTGTGGAGATGGCACTGGTGGCTCCTCAACCCACTGCATTGGTAAAAGTCATCATCGTACACACTGAAGGTTGGAAGAAGACAATACACAGCTAAGTGCAGACAGCTCCCCTAGGAAAGAATTCCACTAAAGGGGAGCAATTGTCTGTCTTACTGCTTCTCAATAAGTGGTCCATGAACTGGCATGAGCACAACCTAAGAACTTGTTAGATTCTCTGGGCACAGGGGCCAGGTCTTTGTTCTAACAAAGATGATTGTTAAGCACACTAGGGTTTTAGATGCACCGGTCTCTGGAATAATTTTCCTAGCACTGCGGTAGCCCATTCCTGTCTTTTTTGAAAGATGCAGGGAGTTTTATGGTGGATTGAGCTTTAGCATTCAATAGGCAGCATACTCTTCTCACTTCTTTTTTCCTTAGGGCACAATATTTATACGGTATAACTCTAAGTAACAGAAAACTGGGAAGAGAGAGGATTTTTTAGTACTTGGGCAACTGAACGCCTCGTAGTACAACTTTTCTCATCTTTCCAGAGTCCCCTTATGCAGGTGGAAAGCAGGACTTAGGGGAAATTGAGCTGAATCCCCAAGTGGTTCTAAACAACAAGCTCAATATTCAGACTACTCTGGGTTTAAAGTAAATGTTCTGGAGCTCTAACATACAGTATGGGAACTGTAGTTAATAATACTGTATTGTGTACTTGAAATTTACTAAGAGAGTAGATTTTTAATGTTCTTGCAACAAAAAAATGAAACAAAATAACTATGTGAGGTGATGGATATGCTAATTAGCTTGATTGTGGTAATAATTTCATAATTATATATACATCAAAAAATCACAAAATACACCACAAATACACACAATTTTTATTTGTCAAAGTAAAAGTACTTCCAGCAAGAAGGTACTTTTTGTGTATAATTCATAGATAGGCTTAATGACTTGGAGATTTACTCCTATGTTTTAAACTGCTGTTTTAGCTGTTACTGTTTTACCAATTCCCAGATCCACTCTTATGCCATTAATAATGCCAGAGAGCAGCTGTGTTGAAGCTGAGGCTGTCTCCTGACCTTACCAGCCTTTGCTATGGGCAGTTCCCAGCTTCACTTGCTAATATAACCCTTCTACATTTATTTCTCTGAGTTGTTCTTTCTTGTTTTCTCAGTAAATATTCTCATTCTCTTGTCTTTCTATTACTCCTCTGACTTAACCTCTCCACTGAATCTTTCTTTTCAGCATTGCATTATGCTTTCCTAATTTTTATATTATTCTCACCTAATGGATCAACCAATGAGCTGCTACTACCTTGTAAAGATCAGCAGTAGAGGTTTCCTTTTTAGTAACATCAGCTCCTTCTCTCTGTCTGGTATATTTCAGCCTATAGAGACATTCTCCATTGTCAATATGTGAAGATTTCCAAATTTGATCCCTTATGAGGAAAGTGGTTAAAGAGACAAAGAGAGCCAAGAACAAGAAGAACACACAAAGAAAAAACAAGTATATTTGATGTGGCATCAAATATTGCTTCAACGCTCTGATCTGGTGTTCATGAGTTTGATATCAATTATGACATTTTGATGTTCTAAATCAAAGATGTGGCTAGGATCACTGATACTATAGAGACCTCAAAAAGAATGAATGACCTTCAGTGAGATCTTTGTAGTATCAATGAAACACATGAAAAAGAGAAGAATTTAAGAGACCCAATATTTCATTCAGAGAATTTCTCTTACTAAGAATTTGTGAGGTGTAGGTTTATATTCTTTTGCACCTGATATAAATAGTTTTTGTAATAATTATTAAATACAATTTAATGTTAAAGAATTCACAATACTAGCAAATAATTTTGTTTCCCCATGTACTTCCCCAAGCTTTCCAGAGTTTTATTAAATTGCAAATTTGAACCACTTTGTAAAAGCAACCAATGAATAATGCCACATGCACAGAAAAAGTGAGCTAATTATGTTTATCTAACTGTCCATCTTTGGATTTTCTAGGATTTAACTGGAGGAGAATGTTACTCATTGTAAATAATTCTTCAACCAGAAGTGTGCTGCCTTTAGTGATGGCTAATACAACCTATGAATGCATATCTTAGAAGAGAGATACATGTAAGTTAAGGGCAGAAACCCAAAATGATCAAATTAAAAGCTCAGAGAATAATCAATCTGCAATCAAAGTTCTGCACTCCTCCTTTGTCCATCAAGAAACTGATGTTTCTGACTCAATCATTTACCTGGATGAGGGCCTCCAACTGCCATATTTTCCTCTGTTCTCCTCATTGAGCAGATACATCCTGATGAATATATCCAACATACATATACCACGTACATAATATTATATATGTTGTCTATTGCTTCATATTTAGAACCTTAAAGCACAAGTTTAGAACCTTAAAACAACACACATTTATCAACACAGAGTTTCTATGGAACAGGAGTTGGGGCCAGGCTTAGCTTGCTCTTCTTGAGATCTCATAAAGTTTCAATCAAGATGTCAACAGGTCTGGGGTCTCATCTGGAAGATGAGATAAACTGGCTTCCAAACTCATTCACATCTTGGCAGAATTCATTTCCTCTAGCTATTTGGCTGAGGCCCAGAGTTCCTACAGGCTACCTGCAGTGTTTTGACACATGGGCCTCTTCGTAGGTGGTTCATAACATGACTGCTTCATTAAGACCAGCAAGGGAGTGAAAGTGGAACATTTCAGAAGTCTCTGGGCTCTGGTTTTAAGAAACTTATTGAAAGATAATCATTTCCTTCAAAGGTTTTCTTGCAGCCCGTCTGAAACCATGAATTGCTGATTCTTGTCCTTGTAGTAAATCTCTCTTCATCACTTATATTCTGGAGCTCAAAGAAGGACCTGCATAATTACTGAACATAAATTTCAGTTCAAGAACCTACAATTTACTGATCTTTAACCTCCTGAGATGAGAGCTCACTGGAACATCCAACTTGTAACATTAATAACAGTGTATACTGTTTCTCTTATCATTACTATTCAATCTCTGTCCCACCATCAGGCAATTTCATTCATTCCTAAGGCTTCAGATAATTTATTTCAATGATTCCCAGAACTTAAGGCCCATAGCCCTTGTGCCATATTCAGTCCTAGATTAAGTTGATTCCCCATCATTTTACTAAGATGTACCTCAGTTATCTGAATCTGAACAGTTGGAAAATGTGTTCGTCATTATCTTCCCTCTCATTTGCCCATACTCATTTTTACCAGGTCCTCTTCTTCCTCTCATTAAATAGAAACACCTACGTGGAGCTGATTTTTCATTCTTTCTTCTTCCCTACCATTTAAAATAATCAAATACTAGCATTCAACTTCACAACATTTAAAATTTGAATTATGAACAGTGTATATTTGTAGCAAAATTATAAAATTAATATTCATGAACCCAGTATTCTAATTAAGAAATAAAAGTCACTATTACTTTCTGTTAATTTCACTTTGTGCTTATCTAAAAGCATTCCAGTGCCTCCTCACTCCTCCGGACTTAATTACTATTCTAAATTTTGTGTTAATCATTGTCTTGTTGATCTTTATATGTGTTCCCAAACAATATAATATTTAGCTTTACCTGGTTTTAAAATCTATAAACATGATATTCTAATATATCTATGCTTTCAACAACTTGATTTTCTTCACTCAACCGTAGGGTTTAATATTTATACTGTTGTTTGTAGGTGGAATTTACTTGAAATTTGTATTGAAAAATATTTTATGAATATATAGCAATTTATTTGTAAATTTTCCTAACAATGGTCGTTTAAAAAGAATATTTTTACTATTACAATATTTTCTATGAAATTATTGTACATGTACTCAATCCACATGACCAGGAGTTGTATTAAAGTTTATACCCAAAAGTAGAATTTCTGGGTTTTTATACATGCATATTTCCTACTTTACTATTAATGCCAAATTATTTCCAAGTATATACACAAAAATTTAAACTTTTTCTTGCAGTGTTTAAGAGTTCCCATTACTCTGTATGCTGGCCAACACTTGATTTTTAAATCCATTTATTTTTGTCAGTATGGTGGGTATAAATAGTATCTTGTTGTGGTTTAGTTTTAATTTCTTTGAAATTTAATGTATGTAGATATATTTTTATTTGTTGCTGGCCATCTGTTTTCTCTTCTGTGAAATATACGAGTTTGTATTTTTGTTGATTTTTTATTAGGTAGTTTGCCTTTTCTTAGTGAATTTTAGAAGTTCTTTATATATGTAGATTGATATCATTTTTCAGTTTTGCATGTGCAAATTTCTTACTCCCAGTCAATGGCTATTTTGTGTTTATTTGTAATCAATAAAAAAGTTGTTTCTTTCTTTTGATCAACAGGACTTCTAAATTTTAATGTAAATTACATAAACAATATTTTTACTTGGTGTTTTGACTTAAGAAAACTTTTCACTCCCCAGAAATCATAAAAATATCCTACAATTTCCTATAAAAATTTATCTTCAGCATTTAAGATTTTAACCCACCTGGAATTGATTTTTGTGTATGACGTGATGTAAGGAACAAATTATTTGTTAAAACTGCAAACCATTCTGTTGCCATTGATTGTACAATGTGTCACTTTCCCGTTTTATATCATGTTTCTATATCTGTGTGGGTCTACCTCTTAGCTTTCTTTTGCTGGTGTATTTTATATTCTTTTCCCAATAAATACTGTAGCTTTATCATAAGTTTGGACATGCAGTAGAGCAGTTTCTCCTACTTTGCTTTGCTTTAAGTATTCCCTGACTGTGTTTTTCATTTTCTTTACCAAATAAATTTTAAAAACATTTACCATAATCTACAAAAAGTCCTGTTGAGGTTGTGATTAAATTTGCATTGAAGTTATAAATCAATTTGCACAAAGTTGACAACTTTACAGTATTAAATCTACCTGTCTTTGATCATGATCTACTTTATTTACATATGCAACTTCCTAAACTTTCTTATTAATTTTAATATTGGTCTTTTGAGTTTTTCATGTAGATAATTATGTCATCTGCTAATAATGACAGTTTGGTTTCTTTCTTTCCAATGCTTATTTATTTTTGTTTAACAGGGAAGTCCAGGACATCTAGCATATGATAAATCGAAGTAGTGAAAACTTCCTAGAATTCTGTCATCTCTCAGTTGCCCCCAATAACTGAATTTCTGGCGTTGCTAATACAGTAACTTTATTTTCTGTTTCATGAATTTCTAATCTTAACTGTATTATTTTCTTAGTTTTACTTCCTTTATGCACTTTTAAGGTGTTTTATGATTTTTGCTGACTTCTTAAGTTGGATAAATAATTTTTAACCTTTATTTTATTCTGAGATAGATATTAAAAACTATAGATTTCCTTTTGAGTAATTGTTTTTTGTTGTTGCATCTTATATAATTTGAAATAGTGTTTCAAATATATTTCAAAAATATTTCAAAATATTCAAAATATTCAAATATATTTCAAAAATATTTCAAAAATAGTCAAGTCTGAATATTTTCTAAGTTGCATTTTGAAATCTGCTTTGTCCCATGCGTGGTTTACACATACAATGTAAACAATTTTAACATATTTTTGGTTTGGTTGATTTCTAAATGCATCTAAATTTTAGCAATTTATGTGTTAAGTAATTTAATACTAAGCAATTTTGGTATGTGTGCTATTGATTCTTTGGAATTTTTTGAGACTTTCTTTATGGAACAATATGTTCAATATGTGCTTCAAAAGAATACATATACCACAAAAGTTGGGTGTACAGTTTTTTATATGTGCTTTAAACATATATTTTATTTATTAAACAATAACAAATTGGTTAATTGTGTTGTTCAAATCTTTCATACTTTTACCTATTATTTTATCTTCCTGTTGTAATAGTGAGAGCACCATGTTGAAATATCTCATTCTGATGTCAACTATCACTTTGTATATTTTGAAGCTATATTATTTGGTGCTTGCAAGTTTAGAATTACTACATTTTCCTGATAAATTAAAAGATTTATGATTATATTGTTACCTTCTTCATTTCCAGTGATAAGATTTTTGCCTTTAGAACTATTTGTCTGATATTAACACTGCACAGAATTGTTTTCTAGGTCACCCTTTCTTTGCGATTAACTCTCTGTAAGTGTAGGATCCGTGTGGAGCGCTGGGGTTGTGGGGACAAGGCTTTGTTTCTTGTACTCCACATTTGCCTGTCATTGAAACCTAAGCTCCAGGCTACCCAAGAGCAGTAGACATACCCATGACAACAATTAGCCTCAGAGTTTACTAACTCCCCTCAATTCATCCAATGATTTATTTCTGGCCCTGTTTACATTTCCCTTCCTTACTTAAAAATTAACTTGTTTTCAAATATTAATATAAATATATAGGTATATGCATACATACAAACATACACCTGGGGAAGAGTTTTATTCCTCTTGCCTGCCAAACTCCCAGAAATGGGTGTCTTGCATTCAAATATCTTTTAAATACACCAAATTCCAATCCTCTTCCCTGATATTACCCGCATTCAGATCCTCACTAGTTTTCCTGCCTCTATTCTTCTTCCAACCATTCCTACTACAGCCCAAGCCCCCTTTCTGAAACACAGATCTGTTGGCGGCTCTCTCCCTTATTTTTAGCATAAGGACTGAATTATTTCATATAGCCCAAATGCTCTGGGTGACATAAACTGCTTCTCTCTGCATGTTCTTGACTCACATGAACCCCTACTCATGCCCAAAATGTCTGATTCTGCTATAAATGTAGTTGCCTACTTTTGTGGAAGAACTTCTATGCATGCTTTATAAACATTCTATTAGTTGATCCTTGCGAAAATCTTATTTGTTAAGTATTATTATCTCCATTTTATAAGGAGAGGGTAAGTGACTTTAACCAAAGTCACACAGTTACTACTTGGAATACTTGGGATTTTATCCCATGGCTGCCCGACTTCAAAGATCCTTCTATTAATGTCTGATCCTACTGTTCCTTCTTTCTCATTTCTGGGCTTTTATTCTCTTCCTAGAAAAAATCACGCCCTTCTTTCTCTATCATAACTTTCTCATCATTCGAGTCCTACTTAATCAAGTGCCCTTTTTTATGGGCCTTTCACTCTGATACAGTACCTCTGCTTTTTCCTTCTTTTGCGTCTCCCTGTAGACTGTAAGCTGTGTGAGAGCAAAGACCAATCAGCTTTTCCTCGGCGACATCTTTTGTCCCAGGGCACATACTTTCTAAAGTCCCAGGCCCTGAGGAAACTTCCAGGATGAATTTTTTTTTTACTTGCCTCCTTTTTTTTTTACCCACAGGAAAAATTCATGCTTATAAACATCTCATACTTATACACTCACAATCATTTTTTTTTAATCTCCCCTACACTGGTTCTAAAAATTCTGAAGCAATTTAAGAAAAGGGATTTTGTTTCATGGTAAATCAAAGCATAGGGACTTTTTTATTTTTTCCATTTCAAGAGAACTAGTCACTAGTTCCCAGGTCCTAGAGCACTGATTTGATTTACTGGTTTCAGTGCAGAGCTTCCCATGCTCAAACTTTATAAATAGAAAAAAAAAGTGGAAGTTGTATTTTAAGAACCAGTTCTTTAATAAGCCCAAATGATATTTGTTTAATTGCATGTTGGGCAAGGCTTCCAAACTTTGTGAAATTATAAGAGAAATGTGAATTCCATAAAATGAAAATCTAATCATTATATCTACTTTTGAATCTTCACAGGCTCTACCTGTTTCTTCTTGCACTATCGTTTCAATAAGAATTTAGATGAATGTGATTGATGCATTCCTGTCAATTTTGTGAGAAAATATGCATTTTTAATTAGAAAAAAAAACACTGGTATTTGCTAATCTCTTTTAGGCATTCATACTTTATTTTTATTTTATTTTGAAAATTCAATCAGACTATTCACTTGTTTTCTTGTAAAATATGAAATACTAGATGGAATTTACCTGTCGAATTTAAGATCCTCTTTCTTAAATAAAACCAATTCAACTGATACAACCAATTTTCAAAATTCTCTGCTATTTTTATTGTTTTTCATTCTAGTAAAGTTATTTTTATATATATGTATATATTATATATATGCATACACACACACACATATATATATATACATATATATATATACATTATATATATATGTATATATATATATATATATACTCTCAGACCAGAAATTAACTTTTGATTGTGTACTCTACAAAAAGTCATGCTTAGGTACACTAGGATACATATGCCCAAATGTGATAGCATCCTTATTTACAATAGCAAAAGCTGTAAGCAATCCAATATTTATCAGCAATAGAATGGAAAAGTAAATTAAGGTGTATTTATGCAGGGGATTACTCACCAGCAATTAAAATGAAGGAACTACAGTTATCACTAGCAACACGGATAAATCTTAAAAACCTAACATTGAAAGGAAGAAGTCACACAAAAGAAATATATACTACATTATTACATTCATATTAAGTTCAAAACAAGTAAAACTAAATTATGTAATTTAATGATACATTTTCACATAGTAATACTGTAATGAAAAGCAAGGAAAATATTACTGTAAATATCCGAACAACAGTTTCTTAGAGTGGGAGAAAAGGTGTTATAATTGGGTAGAGCTGTTGACAAAGTTCTCTTTTGTTACTTGGTGGTGAATTACATGGATGTTTGCTTTATTATAATTAATTAAGTTGTGCATTCATGTTTTTTATGTCTTTATTTGTATTTGTGTATTTTACAATAAAAGGAGGATGGAACCATAGTCATATTAGACCATTCTCACACTGCTATAAAGAAATACCTGAGACTGGGTAATTTATAAAGAAAAGAGGTTTAATTGGCTCACAGGTGTGCAGACTGTACAGGAAGCATGGATGGAGAGGCCTCAGGAAACTTACTATCATGGTGAAGGCAAAGGGAAAGCAGGCTCATTTTACACGGCAGGAGCAGGAGAAAGAGAAAGAAGGGAAAGGTGCTATACACTTTTAAACAACCAGATCTCGTACGAACTCACTCACTATCACCAGGACAGCAAGGGGGAAATCTGCACACATGATCCAATCACCTCCCACCAGACCCCTTCTCCAAAATTGGGGATTACAATTGGACATGAGATTTGGGCAGGGACACAAAACCAAACGACATCAACAGTAAAATTCATTCCTTTTTGCTTTCAGTCCAGAGTGTTACTGCAATATGAACTAGACTTACTAATTTCTTATCAGCATATTAATCCATACTCACTGCTTAGGGAGGAAATGACCTTACTGAGGAAAAAAATTATAAAGTTTGTTTTGGCTGAAGAAGAGTCAACCTTCTTCCTTAGCAGGAGGCATAAAATACTAGTTTTCCATTTATGGTGGGGTCAAGCTTGTCAAAAAAGTTTTTTCCCCATGAATAGTGGTCACTTTTGCACTGAAACTAAAGCTGTAAAATAGAGCTTTGTTTAATACAAAGCTAACCTGACTAGTCATTTTAATACCTGATATTCCTTGTATTATTACCATATTCTACTTAATTATATAATTCTATCAGACATAAATCAGGACAGTTGTAACATTCTTATTTTATTAGCCATTCAGTATATAGAATAAATTACAACTTTATCATATTCATGTGTGAATTACCTGGTTGAAAATCTTGTAAGGCTTTTCACTTTTTTGTAGTATTGAAGAACAAACAGACTAATTTATTAATAAATATCAATTGACCAGCAACTCTGTTATAGCTCTGATGCTGGGAACTAGGAATATTAATATTAAAATGATGTGTCCTTAACTTGATTAAAATATTTGTTTCTTATGAGTTAGGCTTTTGAAACTTAGCATTTTATGTGTAGTTCACTCAATGTTTCAACTTAATTAAAAGGGGTATAATTTTTAGTTCATTTAATTTTAATATTTTGCTATTCACCTGTATTATACATTTCATACTCAATTATAGATGTCTTAAGTGATTAGGTTTCTTTTTTTACATTAGAAAATGCAACATTATTCTAGTCAAATTCTAGTCATTTACTAGAATAGTGTTATTAGAAAGGAAGTTCATGGATTTGAGAATATTTATGAAAGTTGGCTGGAAGAAAGAGAGAAGGAGATGATACATCCAGTTTTGGACCTGTTGAAAAACGGCCGTGTGAAAGGGCACGGTTTCAAAGCTGGATGCATCATCAACAACAAGGGTAGAAATTGAGTACTTATTTAAACATGTAGGACTGACTAAAACTCACCAAAAATACATTAGTTGAGGATTTATTCCTTGGATCACATTTTCCCACATGTGAATGATGGTACAGGTGTGTAAATTATGATTAAAGATATAAATGATATTCATCAGGAAGAACGCATTGAAAGATAAGCGTCAAAGACCTAAGAGATATCCCTGAAGACACTAATATTTAGAGAAATGGCAGTGGACAAGAAGTCTACCAAGAAAATTAGAGAGTGATGTAATTACACCGAGGAAACCATGTTTAAAGAGGAGGGGTTAGTTAGCAATATCAAGTCCTACCAGTAAAATAAAGTAAGAATACCTACGAGGGATTTGGAAACAAGGCATTCATTGATGACCTTAACAAAAACAGTTTCAGAGAACTCTTGGCAATGTTTTCCAGTTTGCAATGGGTTGAAGAATGCATTGAAAGTGAAGGAAGCACAGAACAATGACTCTAGGCCACTTTTTCAATGTTTGCCAATGCTAGAGGTAGATAGGACAGTAGCAAAAGAGTGACTTGTGGAAAAGGGTGTTGTTTTGCTTTTGTGATTGGAAAGACCTAAGTATATTTAGACAATATTCTTGAGAAAGAGATAGCAAATATGTAAGAATCTGAAAAAAAAAAAAAGGGAAGAAAGACAGGTAAAAAAGGAGGAAGGAGAATCCAAAGTACAGATAAAAGGATTGGCCTCATAATACCTCTACACTTGTGATTGATTGCAGTGGACACTATCTCCATTTGTTTGTAGTGCTTGGATGACAATTTCCATTCTCTTTGTGAAGAGATAATGAGCTGAGAGTCAGAAGGTAACTGGCTTAGAGAGAAATAGTCATGAAAATCATTTCTTTGAATAATGGAAAAGAGAGCTAGAGAAATAAGAATGAATTGTTCCAATCTTGAAGTTTTTGCAGGAATGTGTGATATAAAAGTAAAATTAGGCAAGGAACTTGAGGCAAGAGGAGTGGCTGAAGTGGTAGGCCAGGGAGTCTAGATCAGTCAGGAATTAAATAGTTTATGGTTGATAAAGACATATAAATTGGAGGATTAAGGGATTAAAGGTCTTGGTCAGTTTGGAGAATGAGGATGACAATAAAACCTGAACAGTTAAGAAGTTGTTGCCAGGGAGTGGAATTTATGATTTTAGAGGTGGATCATCTCTAGGTGATAACAGGCTTCAAGTTTGTACATGACAACTGATCATCAGAATGGAAAGTTAGCAGATCTACCATACTGGCCTGTACATTCCTCAACCTACCATATTGGTTTTAACACCTTTGTCTCTAAGTATTCATTGATCCCATTTATGTTCACTTACAATATCTGGTCATTCTTTATCTGTGTAATCAAAATAAATATACCCAAAGTTCATGAGTCAACAGAAAACCTATTTAATTCAAGCCTTGTCTCAATACCTCGGCCCACTGGGGTTACTTCCTACCATGATGCATAGTGTTAAATGTGTTCTTCCCTCACTGGTCACATGAGTTACCATGGTGTGCTGCAAAAGCTGCATTTCCCACTATCCCTGTTGTTTGTGTCACTGTAACCTTGTTTGTGCTTGTGCCTGTTTTGGAAGCCTGTCACATTTTCCTTCTCTGTCTAAGTCAATTACCTTTCTGAGCTAGGTGCTCTCTCCTCTGTTCTTATCATTCCCTATGTATACATCTATTTCAGCACTTACTGCATTATATTCACATTAAACTTTTTATATTTTATTCCTTACAAGCCTCTGCACTTCTTAAAACAGATTTTTCGTTTTATTTATCTCAGTGTCAAACACTATGCCTGGTATAGAACAGATGTTCAATATGTGCTTATGGAGGTAAATTGAAGTAAAATCTTGTTTAGTCATTCAGTGGCTATGTGGCCCAGACAAGTTATATCTACTCTCCCCTCTGTCTTCATCTCATACATGGGGGAAAATATCTCAAAGAGTTTTTGAGGAGCTGGGTGAGACACCTAATGAGAGGAAGTACCCAATATAGTGTCTGGCAGGTAGAAGACTGTAATGAAACTTTTCCAACTTTAAGTCCAATTTGTGCCATCCTTGTATTTTTTAATTGATATTGAATATATGTGTTGCTATTTGATATTTTTATAAGAATGGCTTACCTACTCAACTAGATATTAAAGTTTCTTGAGACTAGGGAATGTATATTGTATTGGCTTATATATCTCACATTACCTAGCATATATTATGAATATGGATAAGTACCCACTCAACAGATGAATATTAAACATTGCCAATCAAATGAACTACATTCATAGATTTTGTTTGACACCCTAGCTCTGAAATGAATAAGGCAGGATAATTAAAATTTTTTTTCTTTAAAGAGGAGGAGAGTTACATGTAAATATATTTGTATTCAGTGACACAATTCAACCATAACCAACCACTAACTGAATGGGGGTTGAAAGCACGAATTGAAATTTCTATATCATAAACAAAATGCTTTTTTCATTCAATGACTGCAAGTTAAACTGCACAGAGTTCGACTGGTACAGGAAAATTCTGATCTAGGCTACTTACTACATAAGCAGACAAGAGCAGCCACATAAATTAAACGATATCTGATATGCAGATGCAGATAAAATGCTTGAATCATTAAATCTCTTTTCTCTGTTCATAAGAATGTTCCAGCATCATGCAGGCATAGCATTCAGCTGCACAGTGTGTTGAAAATTAAAATGGACAAAAGCCTTGAAACTGATGACCTATCCCAATTAGTGTTGCTCTCTCACATAAATGTATACAATTTTCATTAAAAAGTATATTCTCAATTTATTTCATGATTTCTTGATGATGATAGCAAAGTCTATTTCCTAAACTGTATGGTAGAAAGATTTATAAACATTTTGTTATACAGAAAGAAATTGAAGCAAGAAAGGATCTTCACAGAATAAATTAATAGTGGGTGCATAGAAATATACCTGTTCCTCAGATCTAGCCATTCAGAAAGAAGGCAGGCACAACCCTCACCCATCAAGTCCATTCCTTAATTCTGGCAATTTAATATGGTACTGATCAGAAAGTTTTGAATAATATGCATGTCACAACCCCAGAGTGGAGAGCTGATTTGACTTGTCTATTTGTTTGTACATATTTTGAATTTTTTAAAATGACACAATACAACTTGAAAAGGAAACATTTGATTGCAGGAGTTCATATGTACTCTTTATATGTTTTCATAAACCTTCTTCATCTATATTTTCGGCAATTTTTCTTGGACGTCTAACAAATACTGAAATCAGTTTGCCTCTCCACTTACCCTTTCATAATGTTCGTGACACAATCCTGTGTAATTTGACACCTTGGAACTTTAAACAGACTCAGAATCTTTTGGACCTTCTAGCCATCATCAATTCACATAGTGTGCAGTAAATCCAGCTCAAAATAAACAACACAGATGGAATCGAAGCTTATAGTACAATGTCAGCAGTATCCACAGATTGACAGAGCTAGTTAGGCTGCCAGATGCACAGAATGTTGTTCTATCTACTTGTTCTTTATAACTGGACTTGATGGAGTACATCAGTGTCAAACTCCTTGCTGGTTTCCACACGCACACGCACAGAAACGCACCCGCATAAACACGCACATTCCTGCGCTCTATATCAACGGCACCATCTGCTCTCAGCTTTACATGTGGTAGCTAACTAACTATCCTACTGTGCCTGGTCTCACCGACTGCTTTCCCTGGAAACAAATGACAACAGTTTTTATCTTGTGCCCTCCTTGGCATTATAAAATAAGGCTCTTAACATTTCCATACGCATATATTTTACATGCATTTTAAAAAAATTCTGTTCTCCGTTTTATTTACTGGTTCCCTAGAGAATGGCAATATCTCTTTTTATATCTTCCCCAAATTGAGATTTTCCTATGGAACTGCATATACAATGATTGTTTCTTTTAAGGTTTACATCAAAGCAATATATATAAAAGCAATGGACCCTGGGATCATTTTCCTCTCTATATACTATTTTGTAGGGTACTACATACTACTTGCAAAATGGGGGTGTGAAAAATGTGATGATACAATAGATGCAAAAGCATTCATTCCTTTTCACTATTCTTCTGTATAATTCTATTGGCAATAATGACCATGCTGGAACTGTTGAGATGGAGGTTGGTGGGGGGTGGGAGGGGGCTTGTATAAACATGAAATACTTTCATATACAAGTGTCTTACCTGTAGGAGGAAGTCCATGTGTTATTCTTTTCCCAAATGCAGAATTTTTGTCTTGACCTCTTTGCCATCTCATGTGAGATCTAAATGTGTAGTAAGATATAAAGGGGATAATCACTTTTTTAACCATCAAAATTAAATTGTAATGTCTTTTCAGAGCAATACATTCACTTGAACTAGGAGTATGAAATGTCATAAGGAGGATAGATGGAATGAAATTATTGAAAGATAACCCAGGTTTGGGCTGTACCAAATATCCTTTCCTGACCCTTTTCCATGTCTAACACCTGTCTTTATGACAATCTCTCCAGAAGATCTACAGAAATTATACTTACCTTTGGGTAACTAGGTAACATAATCTCCTGGAGGCTAGCTAATTGCAGCCCACGATAACCTCACATACAGTAACTGTTAAACTTTTCATTTATTTCAAATTATTATGGATCAGTGGAGAGGGTACTGATTTGATTCATTAACAGATTCCCAGTCTGTTCCAAGGTTAATGATTACATGTATCTCAATTACATCCTTAACAGGTTATACTGTATGATTTGTTTTAACTGCTTTGTACATTGTGTATCTTTCTCAGCTGAAAGGCTTCTTAGCACTTCGTGATTTAACAAATCTTTCTCCTCCTCTTACTAAAACAATGAACCTGCTCTGATGGAACACATAAAAGTAGGACAAAAATGAGCTGCAAAAGCTTTCTGCAGAATCTTCCAAGAACCATAGCAAACAGTTTACTTTAGTCAGGTAAATACTCGGCAATTCATTCATATTTGAAATATTAATAAGTATGGAGCAGAGGGTTGATCTTTCCTCTTGGTATTTTATACCACCTTCCTTATGTAGGAGGCACTTTATTTTTTAACTTTGATCTTTTGAATATATACAGAATGAAATTCTTCTTAGAAAAGCAGGAGCAAAATATATATTTTTAAGTCACTGTAATTCTTCCAACAGAAACCAGATACATCTTAACAGATCTGTAGAACCAAAAAGTATGAAATAATTAAAAATATAATAACCATGTATACTGTTTAGAATGATAGTAAGTCAAACTCAAATGATTTATAGGTACGCTTTTCATATCTATAATGGATAGTCAGGCACGAGGAGAGAGAGAGATCCATTGCCGGGATTCTCTAGCAAAGACCCCATCTACCAATTCGAAGATGACACATTGATTTTGACAAGAAGGAAGACAATTATGTATTCTAGTACCTCTATTTTCTTTTTTCCTCTTACTACTGCCGCCAAGCCTACTTGCCTCTGTACATTTAGGCAAATAAATTTTTTTACTGTATCCTGAACTAGAATTGTTGAATCTAGGGACTGTCTAAACATGCTTTCTTTGATGAAAAATCTTTGCTTCTTGCTCATAGTAATATAGATTCCATAGCAGAAACTACATTTTAAAGAATGTTATTGCTTTTACTATCCACTTGTATTTTGAACAAGCAAAACACCAGACTCCCCTCCTTCTGGAACCCCCAAGATTCTGACAGAGTTTGGGGACTCAGAAGCCAAATGGGAATCATCAGGAGGAGAGACTTCAGTTATACAATCCATTAAATAAAACAATAGAGCCTGCAGCTGAGCTATTAAAAAGAGTAGAGCAATTTTTATTTCAATGGCTACATTTTATTTCCTCTTCTGAGTGACTGTTAACAAAGGGCCGCTGAAAGGACTGGATAAAAAGCAGGCGTCAGATGCAGGATCCATGAGTTAAACAACATTATTAGATACAATTTCATAAAATCTAGTTGCTTTTTTGCTACTAGAAATCATGTCCTTTTGTCAACTTGTGGTCACATCAGCACTTCTGCTGATATAATTTGCTCCAGCTGCAGAGCATAGCTGGCCTGCAAATCAAGAACCAGAATGAGGACAGGCAGGAATAACTCAATGGCTTGGATAATGTGCAAATCACTACACTTCTTGCTATTAGTCTACTTTTTTTTTTCAGAATATTTGGAAGAGGAAAGATTTATCTTTAGCAAAACAGCCAATCAGCCACCCTCTTAAGAACTGGTTTGTCTGGTTATCTTCTCCTGAAGCCTAACCCTCCCTGCAGTAATGCTTTATAATCATGATATTATGTATTTTTTTCAAAAACTTCTATTGCCCACCACAGAGTAGCAACTTGAACACCTAATGTTAAATAGCTACTGCTTTTATTTACTGCTCCCCTAAAAAAAATTCCCTTAGATTTAAAAATATTCCTGAGTGTTCCTGTTTATTATTCTTGCATTTCAAATGCTTCTATGTGGCCTGGAATGTACAGGTTTACAAAGTAATACATATCACTCTGTCAACAAACTGCTTTATAGCTTCAATTCTGGATGCAATATAGTTCCAATCAAATATGAAATACAATACTGCCTATTGACTTAGGCATAAATTAAAATGGTAGAGGCTTAACTAGTCATTCAGCATTGAGCTTCACCCTGATTAGAAACTCTATTGATTTACATTGAAATCAATTAGAACTGGATCCCAACCATTTAAAATTCAGCCATAATTGAATACTCAACAATCACTTCATGTACAGAGAAAAGAGTTTCTAAATAAAAGCAAAGCCCAAGTACTCTTGCATATCTGAGAAAATCATTATATATGGTGAGCAAATAAGAGGGAACAAACAATAGCATATACAGCTGGAACAGCTGAATCAATGTTCCTATAACAAGAACAGTTTATCAGGTGTGCAAAAGCAGCACTAGCCTGTTGTTCACCAGTGCAAGTGAGCTGATATTCTCTTTTCATGGCATGGCAACCTTCCAGGGCCAGGTGCAATCATAACTGCAAACTCATTATGTAACCTGTCACCTTCTAAAATTCATTGCTGCAGTAAGTACCTAAACCCAAAGCTATGGTTGGAATATTTCCCTTTTTTTCTTTGTAAACTGACCTGGAAAATATTGTGGCTACAAAACATGCTTTTAGATACCATTGTTTTAGAAAAGACAAAGAGAAGGAATGTGCCACATACTTGTGGCACCAACTTTGTTTTCTTTTTCACAGAATTGCACAGTGAGATGGAGATTAGTCCGATACCTCTTTCTGTTTCTGTTTTATTACATGTTGCAGAGGTGAATTTGCCAAAACCCAGAATTCTCTTTACTCCTCAGATAAGAATGGAAGTTATAACATTTTATGAAATGTATGTGGGTAATTTTCACCAATCCTAAAAGCTTTAGAAGTTTGATCCTGCTAGATGTAGACTAGTGAACCTCATGGGCTCTAGCCTAGAGAAACAAATTTTAATTTCTGAATGGTATGAGAGCTGAGTTTTCACATATTTATATATATATATATATATATATATATATATGATATACACACTTTTATTATTGTTCACTTTGGGTGGGTGGAAAAATTGTGGTTCATTTAAAATAGAATCAAAGTTTATGTGATATTGCTAACAAATCTGAAATGTTTAATCATTACATCAAGCAACTCTTTTTGTTCAAATAAACAAGAAACAAATTGAATGACTTGCAAGAGGTTTTTACCTCTCTGAGAAAGAAAAACATCATGTTACAAAAGAAATGGGTTTTGAAAGATGAATGTTAACACCTCTGATCACACTCTTCTAATTCTGCCCTTACCTGGCCTCCTTACAAGTAAGGCTAGATCCAAAAGGTAGGTGAAAGGAATGAGGCTTACAATTGGTAAAGTCACTCTTGAATATGAACAAGTTATTTTATGAGTCTATGTTCATATCTCAGAATAAGCCATTCTCTTATCATCATTAAGTCAAAAATGGTTGTAGCAGTGAGCAAAATGTGTGAGATACTTTTAAAATGACAGTACACCCAGACTTGCTTTAAGGCTACCAAATTGCTATTTCCTTGTCAAACCTTAGATGCTCCTCTGGTATCTTGAATTTGTGTCTAGACAGAAGAGTAACAAAAAAATAGCAGCTAAAAAAGTGCTTCTAGCATTTTCTTTCATTTTTCAGAAGGTAAGGTATAATTTAGTCAGTCCACATTGAAGTTCGAAATAAACTTTTCTTTATAGAACTTCTCTTCTCTTAACTCATAGATTGCTTGTGGGTAGTAGTCAAAATCAAGCAGAAAAATATAGGTGGCATTGAGTCTACTGTATCAGTCTAATAGTCTGCTTAACAATATGGTTTCAAGAATATTGTACTTGGAAGTTGCATTACCCCAGAAACATATAAAGAATATTTTTGAGCACTAAGTATACTGTTACTCGGGTCTGTTTCATGAAGTTTTAATACAGTGTGGGGAAGATAAGTATTTCCATCCCATTAGATTCAAAGACTCATTGTTCAAATATAAATATCCAACACCTTCTCAGCTTGAGTGCTATTTTGCCAGTTGCTTTTGCTGTCAGTTGTCTTTTCTTGTGAAAGATAAAGCTTTCTACAATAGCAAAAATTATCTGCATGAAGTTTAATCTTACTGCATTTGCTTCCCTCTCCTGTATGCTACATACTAATACACATGTCTATGGAACACAAGATGATTATGAGACAGAAAAGTTTACATTGGGATATTTTCTAATATTTTGAGGGTTAACAGAAATAGTTAACCTTAATGGATCACAAAACTATTGAGACAAATTCCATTGCAGAAGGAAATCTGAAAGGACATTAAAAAAAAAAGGAAGAAGAGGAAGAAGAAGAAGAAGAAGAAGAAGAAGAAGGAGAAGGAGGAGGAGGGGGAGGAGGAGGAGGAGGAAGAGAAGGAGGAGGAGGAAGAGGAGGAGGAGGAGGAAGGGGAGGAGAAAGAAAAGAAAAGGAAAGAAAGAACGAAAGAAAGAAAGAAAAGAAGAAAGAAAGAAAGAAAACAACAACAAAATCCTTGGAACAATTTCTGTTAGTTTATCAAATGTTTTGTCTGTTTCAAACAGATTAGTGAGTCACTGTCTTTTTGTTTTGTTTTTATAGAGAAGTTCTGTTGACTTAAAACACTACTGCCAACATAGGCAGAAATACCACAAGTATAGTTGTATTACAAAAGTACTTAAAGCAAAGAAAAACAATATTTCAGAGCCATTCCTGCTATTGAAGTCTCCTGAATTTTCATAAAACATTTCCAAGGACTCAGTTAGGGTTCAGAGGTTCTCCATGAGTTCTAGTCAGCCCAACGCAGCTCTACTGTGAAATGCAGGGAGATGCAGGCTTGGCTTATATAGTGGTAAATGAAATAAATGATTGTGATTATTTGAATATCTTTCTCATGGGTTTTTCTTAGAACAATGTGTATTTGTAAAGCTGTGGAAAATTCACACACAAAAAGAATTTATGAGCATTATGTTGTGTTTTCATTTCTTTGACCCTGAATCAAACAATTGTGTTTAATGCTTGTGGCTTTTGTTGTTGATGATGTTTGCTTTCAAGTTTGGATGCAGACTTCATAAAATAGAGAATAACTGAATTAATACCCAACTTAGTATGTGCTCTATGAAGCAAGTATTTAAGGAAAACTCTCATTCCCCTGCTGGATTGTGAGACTGACTAAGTCACAGATTGTGTCCTGCTAAGATATGCATGTCCTGGTGAACAGCAGAGTTCCTTGCACATAGCAGAATGATTGAACATTTGCAGAGTTAAAGTGAAATCCAATTGAATTAAAATGGCAGTAACACAGCATTTATTTGACAATTCTCTAAAACAGACAGCTGATAAATGGACAATTTCTAGCATCAAATGTTACCATTTATGAATTAAGATCTTGATGCGAATAAAGAAGTACCCTAAAACTTGAAGTATAATAATAATAAAATAAAATAAAATAAGAAGTATGAATTTATATCTTTATGTTAGAAGATTATAATTTTGTTAGCTTAAATTTTTAAATACCTGTATAGTTTCAACATAATTGACTTAATTCCTCATAGCTTTTCTGGAAGCAAAAATAATTATCATTCATTGGCTGTCAACCCTGTCAGGGCACTATATTAGATGTTTTACACTTCTTTTTACATTTTATTTATTAAAATTGATACATTTTTAACTGCACACATATTTATGGGGTACAAGTTTATAGTTCAATACATATCTATGTTGTATAATGATCCAACAAGGGTAATGCATCCATCAGCTCATGCATTTATTACTTGTTTGTGGTAAGAATATTCAAAAATCTCTCTTCTATCTATTTTGTATTATGCAATACTTTATTGTTCACTATACTCACCTTAATGTGCAATAGAATACCAGACTTTATACCTCTTATCTAATTATAGCTTTGTTTCCATTGTCCAACCTCTCCCTGTTCTCCCCTCATGTTGTTCTACTCTCTGTTTTCATGATAGATACTTGTTTTTAATTCCACATATAAGTGAGATCATGCAGTATTTGTCTTCCTGTCTGTATCTGGCTTATTTCACTTGACATGATACCTTTCATGTCCATCCATGTTGTCCTAAATGACAAAATTTGATTCTTTATTTTTTTTTTTTGGCTAAATAGTATTCTATTGTGTACATATACCACATTTTCTTTGCCCATTTATCTGGAGAGGAGCATTTAGGTTGATTCCATAATGTAGCTATTGTGAATAGTGCGCCATAAACATGGAAGTACAGATATGTCTTCAACATACTGATTTAATTTCTTCTGGGTATATAGCCAGTAATGGGATTGCTAGATCATATGGTTGTTCTATTTTTAATTTTTTAAGGAAGCTCTATACTGTTTTTCATAACGGCTGTAGTAATTTACATTCCCACCAACAGTGCATAAGACCTTCCTTTTTTCCACATCTTTGCCACCATCCCTTATTTTTTGTGTTTTTGATAACAGCCATTCTAATGGGAGTGAGATGCTATCTCACTGTGGTTTGAATTTGCATTTCCCTGATGATTAGTGGTGTTGAGCATTTATTTTATATACATGTTGGCCATTTATATATCTTTTTTTAAGAAACGTCTATTAAGGTATTTTGCCCATTTTGTAATCAAGTTAGTTTATTTTTTTTGCTGTTGAGTTGTTTAAGTTCCTTATATATTCTGGATATCAACTGCTTGTTAGATGTATAGTTTGCAAACATTTTCTTCCATTCTCTGGATTATCTCCTTACTATAAATAGTTCTTTTTGCTATGTAAAAGATTTTCAGTTTGACGTAATCTCAATTGTCTATTTTTATTTTGTTGCCTGTACTTTTGAGGTCTTATTTCAAAAATATTTGCCCAGCTAATGTTGTGAAGCATTTCCCCTATATTTTCTTCTAGTAGTTTTATAGTTTCTTTGGGACTTTACATTTAAGTATTTAATTCATTTTGAGTTGATTTTTATATATGATGAGAGGCTTGTGTCTAGTCTCATTTTTCTGCATGTGAATATTCAATTTTCCCAGCACCATATATTAAATAGACTGTCTTTTCCCAATGAATGTTACTGACATCTTTGTTGAAAATCAGTCGGCCATTACACACCAAAATTACACAACAAAATTATAGTTGGTGTGTAATTTTTTTTCTGGGCTCTCGATTCTTTTCTATTGATCTACGTGTCTGTTTTTATGCAACTATCATGCTGTTTGGTTGCTACACGTTTGTAGTATATTTTGAAGTGAGGTAGTGTAATGCCTCCAGCTCTGTTCTTTTTGCTCAGAATTATTGAGGCTATTCAGGTCCTTTGTGGTTCCATATGAATTTTAGAATTGTTTTTTCTATTTCTGTGAAGAATGCCATTGGTATTTTGATAGGGATTGCATTAAATCTGTAGATTGCTTTGGGTAGTCTAGCCATTTTTAACAATATTTATTCTTCCCATCTCCTCTTCAATTTTCTGGGATAGTTTGAGGACAATTGGTATTACTTCTTTAAATATTTGATGGAAATCAAGAGTGAAGTCATCAGGTTCTGGGATTTTCTTTGATGAAAGACTTTTTTGTTATTGATTTCATTTCCTCACTTATTATTAGCCTGTTCAAATTTTCTATTTCTTCATAGTTTAACCTTGGTAGGTTATATATGTCCAAGAATTAATTAATTTCTTCTACGTTATCAAGTTTGTTGGCATATAGTTTATGCAATAGTCTCTTATGATCCTTTGTATTTCTGTGGTATCACTTGTAATGATTCCTTTTTCATGTCTCATTTTATTTGAGTCTTCTCACTTTTTCCTGACCTAAAGATTTAATTTTATTTATCATTTCAAAAAATTAATTTGTTGTTTTAGTGATCTTTTTCATTCTTTTTAGTCTATTTCTGCTTTAAGTTTAATTATTTCCTTACTTCTACCAATTTTGCCTTTAGTTTTTTCTTCTTTTTCTAGAGTTTGAGGTACATTACTAGGTTATTAGAAATATTTCTCCTTTATTGAGGTAGGAGTTTATCATTATAAAATTGTCTCTTGAAACTGCTTTTGTTGTATCTTATAGATTTTGGTATGATGTGTTTTTCATTTTCATTTTTCTCAAGGAAATTTTAAATTTTCCTTTAAATGTCTTTATTGACACATTGATTGTTTAATAGCATGTTGTTTAATGTCCATGTACAGGTAAAGTTTCTAAAGTTTTTCTTGTTGTTGATTTCTAGTTTTATATTTTTGTGGTCAGATACTTGATAAGATTTTTGTCTTCTTATATTTGTTAAGACTTGTTTTGTGACCTAACATGTGATCTATCCTGGAGAATGTTCTATGTGCATGTTAGAAGAATGTGTATTCTCCAGCTGTTGGATGGAATATTCTATAAAAGTTTGTTGGGTTCAGTTTGTCTATGGGTCAGTTTAAGTCTGTTTTTTTTTTTTTTTTTTGGTTAATTTTTTGTCTGTAAGATCTGCTCACTGTTGAAAGTGGAGTGTTGACATTCCCTAACATTATTGTATTGTAGTCTGTCTCTCCTGTTAGTCTAATAAAATTTGCTTTACATATCTGGGTGCTCTGCTGTTAGATGACTGCTCACAATGTGTGGTGGGATGAAAAATGCCCCTCCAAAACATACCCAATGATCAAATCCCAGGAATCCATGCATGCTACTTTATATGAAAATAAAAAAAGGATCCTTGCAGATGTGATTAAATTAAGGATCTCGAGATGGGGAGATTACCCTGAATTATCTAGATGGGCCCTAAATGCAATAAGTATCCTTATAAGATGGAGGCAGAAGGAAATTTTACACATAAAGAGGGAGAAAGAGAGAAATGGCAGGAGGGTGAAGGAGAGAGAAAAGAAGAAAGCATTGTGAAGACAGAGGAATATGAAAGTGATACAGTCACAAGCCAAGGAATTCCAACAGCCAACAGAAGATGTAAAAGGTAATAAATGAACTCTTCTCTGGAGCCTCTGGAGGGAATATGGAGGGAGTGTGCTTGATTTTGGACAAGCAATACAGATTTCAAAATTTGGGCCTCTAAAACTATGAAAAAATAAATTGCTGTTGTTTTAAGCCACCAAGTTTGTGGCAATTTGTTACAGAATCCTTTGGAAACTAATGCACAGTCACAGCACTTTGGTAGTAATAAAGTTACAATTCGAACATAGTATATTAGGATTCTACTGCTGTGTAACAAATTACCACACATTTGGCAGTTTAAAAAATACCCATTTATCATCTCATAGTTCTGTAGATCAGACATTTAGGTGAAATTGACTGGAATATTTTTTGATTAGGGCTGCACAAGGCTGCATTCGATGTGTTAGCAAGGATGAGATCTTATCTGGAGGCTTTGGGAGAAATCCACCTGGATAGGTTTGGCCCACCTCAGTAATCTCCCTATCTGAAACTCAACTCATTAGTAAACTTACTTAAATCTGAGAAATTCCTTTTATCACATGACATAATTGCCAGGGAGTAACACCAAAATGTATTAATAGATTAGGAGTGCCATCTTAGATTCTGCCTACTGTATTTGGTCTCATGACTCCAAATTCCATGCTATATTATCTGTCATACCACACTGTCTTCCAAAGCACTTTGTCCAGAGTTCCTTAAAACAGGGGTTTCCAACTCCTGGGCCATGGACAGGTACCAGTTTGTGGCCTGTTAGGAAATGGGCCATGCAGCATTACCAACTGAGCTCTACCTCCTATCAGATCAGCGGTGGCATTAGATTCTCCTAGGAATATGAAACCTATTGTGAACTGCACATATGAGGGATCTAGGCTGTGCACTCCTTATGAGAATCTAATGCCTGATGACCTGAAGTGGACCAGTTTCATCCCCAAACCATCACCCACTGCCCTGTCCATGAAAAAATTGTCTTCCAGTAAACTGGTCCCTGGTGCCAAAAAGGTTGGGGACTGCTGCCTTAAAGAACACCTACAACAGCTCATTAATTATCATGTCTGTGCAGTGCTTGTCTTGGTAGCAAAATGTCTTTATACCTGTTTCTATTTAAACTAGCAGAGATAACTTGTGACATTGTAGCACCATTTCATGTTTTAAAATCCATCAAGTATTTTGCACTTTCCTACCTAAACATCCATAAAAGCAACAGAATGACTCTCAGAGGAACAACAAGGAGAGTCATAGAGGTGGGAGATAGGGTTGTAGCAGACATTCGAACATTTTCCCAGAGACTTACAGAAGATACATAATGGCCCCCAGTTGATATTCTGGCCGGATCCCTCAATCACCTTTACCCATAAGATGTTCCCTACTTTTAGTTTGCCTTGCTTCTGATTACTCCTAGAAAGATTGCCCTGGGGTTACTGGAGCCACTCTGCTCTTGTGGCAATCTACCTGGAATTGCCTAGGAGCTTATGTTTCTCTGGGGTGACCCACAGAGTCTCCCTGGGGTGGCTGGTAAAGAAACACAACACCAGTTTATTTGCCTTGAAACATGGCAAACTGACGTGTAGTTTACGCTCCACTGCTTTCTCTGGAAACGGGCTGAGGCTGGGATTTCAGCTGAAATTGCACGGCCCCACACACACACTTTTTTTTTTTTTTTTGGTTCTTCTCCTTCTCCATTCTGTATTGCATAATCAATTTCTCCTGGGAACCTGCTCTTCATAAATCACTTACACTTGAATCCTTGGCTGAGGGTTTCCCTCTTGGATGACCTGACCTCAGACATGAAATACACTTTGGGCACTTTTCTAGAGCCAGGAGCATTAAGGGCTAACCACTCTAAAAACCTCTACTTGGCAAGAATTTTTCCAGGCTGTTTTGTGTAGATAGTGAATATAGCCAGGTCACTATTTGGCAGCCAAGTTCTCTGCTGTCAAACAGATACCTCTCCTAAGAATGAAAGTGTGTGTTGGCCAAACAGGGTACTTGGTCTTTCTTTGAGCTTTTGGAAATCTTCCTTAGAACAGTACAACTCAAAGACTTTTCCAGCACCTCTGGAGATAAACCTGTCTTTGGTCACTATGTGAAACCCATTGCCTAAAGGTGTGCATATAGTTTTTACTGACTCTGATTAGCTATCTCTCTTATGTGTATACATGTAGTAACTGATTAATTTTAAGTACCTGTGGAAACTACAATGGTGAGTACATAAATTCAAGGCCGAATGAGTTTGAAAAGGGCATTTTAAACATTATATTAGTTATTCCAAGTCTGTAGTTGATTTGTGAGTGTGAATACAGAATACAAAATAATGATCCACGGATGGATCCACTAAGCCTCTTAACTGCATATTCAGGTGCACATGAATGGTACTACAAGCAGAATCAGGATTCAGGATGAGAACTCGCATAAAATAAGGGAGCAGGAGGTTTAAAAAATGTGCCAGGGTTGCTCAGCAGAGACTGTTGAGATACAATCTGTCCAAGGATGAGGCAGTGCTCAAGAGCTATGTATAGTGAGGGTTTTAAGAAATCCACCTTGGTGCCCTAATGTCTCTTGTATTAAAAATAAAAACAAAAAAGAAAAAACTTTTACATGGCAAAATGGATTATGCAGATGAAATTAAGGTTACTAAATTAGTTGACTTTAATTTACGTTAATTATTCTAGTGAAACTCATCTAATCACATGATCCCTTTTAAAAAAGTTCCAGGTATCTGGTGCCATTTTGCCAGGACCCACTGCCAAATTGCAATTCTTGAACACAAGGAAGCTATGATGGCTGGTCTAGAGCTTTTAGGTTCAGTCATTACAACAAGCTCAGTTCCATGGAATAAATTCATTACCTGAGCAATAATATTTTATATAATCAATTGCTGTCTTGGCGAGAGTAGATTATCATTTTATATTTGCTGAGTGAAGGAGCTCCATATCCAACCAAATTTCTAAGAACTATTTTATCAAAACTTCATCCCTTTGAGGCAGACTAAGCACAAAAGAGTAGAGAAAGGGGACTAAGAATTCAACCTGGATAAGCAAAAGGAAACGCTAACTCTATTTAGTAAACATCTAAAAATACCATCTTCTAGTGTCAATTGATGAGTACATTAGCACAGAGTTTACTGTCAGGGCACCATACATAGTAAAGCCTTTAATGGGTACTTCTCCTCAGGAGGAGTTAAAAAGGAACATGAGAGTACTGGTATCATTTCATTTTCCAGAAACATTAGGGAAGTCCTGAAATGCACCCCTCTGTAGTTCGTTTAGTGTTTACCAATTTTTGATGTTATACCCTCCAGTAAAATGCAGGATGTGCAAAAAAATGATAAAAAGAAAATTATGTTTTTGAAACAAATGAAGTAAATCAGAGCAAAATGTTGGAATCCTAACTTGTTAATTAAATAGTGTTGAATAACTCCTTCTTGCTAAATTTTCCAACTATTTATCATTATAAGATTCACATTTTTTGTACTATGTCATCAACTGAATACTAAACAACTCTAGGTTAAGGAAACTCTCAGTTTGAAGTTTACAGTTTGGTTTTTATTAACAGGTCAATGTAATTTGGTGGGAAGTTCTTTGGACCAAAAGTCAATAGTGTGATCTAGATCTGTGTGGGCAACTCACTCAGCCTTAATAATTTTGTTCTAATTTCTTCATATTAAAATGATAATAGCTAGTATATTAGCTTACCTTTAAGATATCTTGATTCTACTTAAGTTTGGACTTCTATCTTATAGGAAATACCTTGCAGTGAATCATATAAACTCAAACAAACTAGAAAAACCATTTATGTTATAGCTGAAATTATATTGGTGTGATTTTGTTTCCTTACCTCTTGTGCTATTTACTCCTTTTGTTAATTATGTCATTAGTTTTTTCCTTCGTCCCCATTCCTTATATAGGTTTGTTTGTTTTGTGTGACCACTTAAAATGCCTATTATTTTTTATATTCCCAAATTGTTAATTTACCAAAATAAAATTGTTACATTTCACTTTTTCTTTGTTTGTGCTTAATCTAAAAATATACCTTTAAGATTCATGCACTTCGCAAATTGTTCATTTAGTAGGCTATTATAACAGCAGCATAGTACTCTGAAGTATGTGTGCATCTATCACATTTTTTCTATATCCACTTCCCTGTGATGTACTCCCAGATGTCTCCAACTCTAAAACAAAAACAATGCTGTCATCAACATCCTCATAAATATTCCTATAAGAATTTACTTAGGGTATATTCCCAGAAGCACACTTGCAGGTTCACATTATACTTTTGTATTTAATTTGACTAAGTACTGTCTGTTTGCACCCAAAAATGGCTGTGCCGTCTACAGACCAAGGGATCCTGGATGCCTATGTTCTTATCAACATTTGGCATTATCCAGTTTTCTAATTTTTGCCAAAGAGACATATTTACCTTCCATTTCTCTGACAATAAGATGAGTATGATTTACATAATTTTACCCTTTTGGGTTTTTTCTTTTGTAAATTTTCTTTTTATTTCCTGTACCCATTTTTTTGAGATGCCTTTTTCATGATTTTTTAGAGGTCCTTGTATAAATTTCTAGATAGTAGTTCTTTTACTCTTTTAAATAGTGCAATTATTTGGGCTTTTTGTAATACATTATTCATTTTGTTCAAAGAGTTTTTTTGTTGAAGAAAAATTTATTTTGATAGATGTAATTATTATAACCAATGTTTGCCTTAAGGTGTGTGGTTTGAAAATTTTATTTAAGAAGTCTCTTCATGTTTCTACAAAAGAAAGTTGCTCCTCAATAATTCTTCTATTAACTATATAGTTTTACCTCTAATATTAACAACTTGAATCCATCTCTGTACTGTCATTGTCTATAGAATCTACATTTAATGTAAAATAAGATTTATTTTATATATGTTTGTACTGACACTTTGTGATATTTTAACTGTTGCAAGTAAAAGTCAAATTACACTTATTTTATTAGTAGAAAGTTTTTGAACAATTCTACAACAGTTTCATAACTTATCCCATGCTGTTTTACAATTGTAATTTTTCACTTATAATCTCTTTACTCCACACCAGCACCATTACTATGCCCTGAGAGTCAGTCAGTCCTATGAGCATGTGCCCATCCTTATATGATGCTCTATTTATAACCTTAACTGTCTTGTTCCTAAAATATTGCAGAAGATTCCTACCTAGCCATAAAGCTCCATTTTAAGGACCTACTCCAGAAGAACCCTCTTCAATTCTGCCAAGATTTCCCTTCAACCGTTTTCCCCCAGCCCCAGCATATGGTCTTCAAATTGCCATTAATACAGGTGAGGTCAATTAGGGATACATTTTTCCCACACTGAGCCATTCTCTTAAGTCTTTTATTTTTGGTATAAACTTTGTTTCTTGTATGTACAAGGGTTAGGCTTTTGAAATTCAGTTAAGTCCAGTATCTTACAATTTAAACTTTGTTTTTCTGAAACCCAAAAAATTAAAGTTTAACTTTATTTTTGTTGGGATTTTTTTTCTTTGTTCTTGTTCGTTTTTTTCAGGTAGCAACTATCTCTTGGTAAAAATCAGTGTCTCTGACTAAATGGTGAAGAGCTAGGTTCAGAAAGAATACCAGGAACAAAATTCAGCTTGCTGAGTGCGTTAAAACTTGTACTGTTAAATGCTGGTCTCGGCAAGAGGGCTGAAGTTGGGTTAATTGAGATAGAGGGCAATAAGTTTCAGGCCCACGTTAGTCACCAGGGTAAAGAACACAGGAATCCAAATGGAACTGGGAATCCTTGGAATGGAATCAAGTTAACAAGCTTCAGATAGGATAACAAGGAGAAAGGAAGCTAAATGATGAAGTATACAAGGATTCAAAAGTAGACTAGGAGAACCACTAGCACATTTAAGTGAACCCCAGAACTTTAGAGACAGAAAAGCCATAAAGATTAAGGATGGAAAGGATCTATAATATTATTTGATTTAGTATCCTGCCTTCAGATTGATAGTTTCCTTATCCATACTATAAGCAAGGTGACAGAGGCCCATAGAAATGCACCTTTATTCTTAGCACGTGGGTGAGTGGAGGTAAGAAATGAGGTCTCCTTTGCTCCCAAATCAATCCTCTCAAGTATCATTATTTCCCTTCTGAGTCAGTCACCTTCCCCTCAGCAAGCCAGCTTTTGAGTCAAGTCCTGGCAGGGAAACTAAATTGCTTCTTAAGACCACTAAAATTTCTACCGAAAGGGTTAATACTAATTAACCATGATAATTCTCCCCACTTTAATTTTTCTCATCCCCTACTAAATTCTAAGTGTTGCTCCTTGCTCTAGCCAGCCAGCTAACGTGCTTTCTTTTCATGAGTTTTTAAGATTTTTTCCTGAATCCTTTATACTTTCCAACTTCTCTTTCTCTTCCTGTCTTCTTTCTTTTTGTTTTTTTTTCCTTCCCTCATTTAACGAGCATCAGTTGCAGTTTTGTACTGCAATTTAATGAGTTACGTATGAAGGAATTTATTCATAGTTTAAATTAGCACTACCAACCCTTTTCTGTAAAGAGCCAAATAACGAATATTTTAGGCTTTCTAGGCCAGAAAATCTCTGTTGCAACTACTCAACTCTACCACTGTAGCACAAAAGCATGAATAGGAAACAAATAAACAAATAGGCATGACTGTATCTAAATAAAACGCATTTACAAAAACAAGTGTGAGGCTAAATTGACCACTGGGACATGTTTGCTAACCTCTAGTTTAAATAAATATTTAAACAATATATGTAGTATTATAAGAGAGTTGTAAATAAAGGGATATAAGAGCCAAGGAGTCTCACCTCCTTTCTATCAATTCATGATCTATTGCTCAGTTGATCACCTTTGCAATATTTACTTTAGATAAAATATCTTTATAGTATAATTCTCTCTTTCTCGATATTTTATAATACTAATTACTTGCTACGTATAATTAGTAAAAAGTTCCCCTGCTAGATTATTCAATTGTGAACAATCTTGATGACATTTAATGAATAATATACTGGCCATGAATCTTTCTTGGCATAGTCTTTTTTAAAGAAAGATTTGCTACTATATCATCATTATTCTTGAAGAATTAGCAATAATATTTTATATGGCTAATAAATATCATGAATCTAAAAACAAGTACTGTGAACAATTTATGGTATTCAGCCTTCATTACAGAAGAAAATGTCTGAAAGAACATAAAAATAAATAAACCAATATGCTAAGATATGAAGAGTAATGCAAAGATATGCTCAAAAGGACAAATGTACTTACATTCTTTTCTGTATATGAGTTTAGTGTCTCTTTAAATTGTGTTATGAAAAAACACATTAGGGAAAGTACTCCATAATATTAATACTAAGGTAAAAGATCAATAGCAATACTAACACAGTGGTTTTCTACCAGGATGATTTTATCCCTCACAGTACACGTCTAGAAGTGTTTTTGGTTGTCATACGAGAGGGGACTACCACCAGCATCTAGTGACTGGAGACCAGGGATGCCACTGGACATCTGGTGAAGCACAGGACAATCCCCCACAACAAAGAATTATTCAACCTAAAAGGTCAGCATCAAGGTAGGGAAATCCAGTCAGCATTTTTGGTCATGTAGTTTTCTTTTTTATATTAAACTTTTAATTTTGAGATAATTGTACATTCACATACAAGAAATAATACAGTGAGGTACAGTGTACCCTCTACACAGTGACCCATAATGATAACATTTTGCAAAACTATAGTATAAAACCACAACCAGGCTATCGACAATGGCACAGTTAGCATAAAAAACATTACTATCACAACAAGAATCCTTCATATTGCTCTTTTATAGCCACACCTACTTCCTTCCAAATCCAAGACCATTAATTATATGATTCCACTTATATGAAGTGTCCAGAATATTCACCTCTATAGCTACAGAAAGTAGAGTAGTGGTTATGAGGGCTGGGGGAACAGAGAAGTGGGGAGCAATCACAAAAGGCAATAGGGGTTCTTTCTGAGGTGGTGAATATATTCTAAAATTAGATTTAAGTGACGGTTATATAACTTTGTGAATACACCAAAACCATTAAACTGTAAAGTTTATACGAGTGAACATTAAGATATATAAATTATATCTCAATAAAGTTGTTAAAAACTAAAAATAATCGATTATCCATATATACATATTTCTATTTCTAAACTATTTTGTTCTTTGCTTAATGTGTACATCCCCTCACAATGACTATAGTCGTCATTGTTGTATTTTTTGGGTGTATTAAAATTAGGTAGTGATTCCTCCAATGTTATTCTTTTTCTTTAATTGCCTTAACTCTTCTGGTTCCCACGCATTTCTTATAAATTTTAAAATCATTTTGTCAGTATCTACAAAACTTCTGCTGGGGCATAATTATGCTAAATATATAAATTGTTGGGGGGAAAACATAGAGACTTTCTTCTTTCGAGACTTCTAATCCATGGACATGGAATCTCTGCATTTCTTTAGGTCCTCTTTGGTCACTTTCATCAGCATGTGTAGTTTTTAGCATACAAATCTTGTACATGTTTTGTTAGATTTATACCTAAGTATGCATATAAAGTTGGAAAGGAATTATTATAAATAGTAAAAATTATTTCCCAGTTGTTCAATAGTATACAGAAATGCAATAAATTTTCATATGTTGACCTTGTATTTGTACCCTTGAAACTCATTTACTATTTCTAGAAGTTTTTTACAGATTTCTTAAAATTTTCCATGTCAACAATCACGTCATCTGTGAACAGGAACAGTTATTTCTTCCTCTCCATTCTGTGTATCTTTCATTTCTGTTTCTGGCTTTATTGCCTTGAGTTGAGTTCTTAATATAATGTTAAATAGAAGTAGTAAACATGGACATCCTTTCTTCTTCCCAAACTTAGGGAGAAAATGTTAAATCTTTCACTGTTAAGTATGATGTCACCTTTAGTATTCTTGTTAATGTACTTATTAGGTTGAGAAAGTTTTCTTCTATTTCTAGTTTGCCCAGAGGGGTGGGTTGGTTGGTCGATTGGTTGATTGGTTTTTTATCATGAATGAAGTCGAATTTTGTCAAATTCATTTTTTCATTAATTGATAAAATCATGTGGTTTTTCTTCTTTAGACTGTTAAATGGTGGGTTACAGTGATTTTTGAGTGATGAATTAACCTTGCATTCTCACAATAAACCCCAATTTGGCCATGATGTATATAATTTATTGACATCTGTAGAGGATGTTTGCTTCCTTGATCACAAAAAGTATGTATCTGTACTTTTTCTCCCTTTGTTCTTTCTCAATCTGGTTTTGTTATTGGGGTAATTTTCCAATCATACAATCAGTTGGGAAGTGTTTCCTTCCTTTTATTTTAGAAAAGAATTTCATAAAATTGGCATTATTTCTCTTTTAAATGTTTGCTAGATTTTGCCAGTAAAACCATCTGGGCCTAGAAAGTTCTTTTTCAGAAAAGTTTAACCATGAATTCAATTTTTTAAAAGTAGCTATATGAGTACTTATGTTATATCAGTTTGAGTGAACTTTGAATATACAAATCCGTTCCAATCATAAGAGAAATGCTTTGCAAGCAATTGTTTCACTTAATCTAGATTAGTTAACTTATATACAGAGAGCTGTTTGTATATTTCCTTAGAATAATATAATTGTTATTATTGATACAGTAATACAGGCTCTGTAGTGATAGCCAACTTTTCATTTCTAATAATCACAACTTTTGTCATATTTTGTTTTATTTGATCTGTTTGGTGAATGGTTTGTTACTTTTATTATTCTTTTTAAAAAATAAGCTTAGAGTGTCATTAATTTTCTCAATTTTTTTATGTTCTCAAATTTGTTCCTGCTCTTATTATTAACCCTTCCTTATTCTTGTTGTGGGTTAACTTTTTTCCAGTTTCTTTGGATGAAAATCTTGATTGTTGATTTGAGACATGTATTTTATTCTGATATAAGCACAATGATATAAGTATGCCTCTAAGCACTGCTTTTGCTACAGAGTTCAAATTTTGATATGTAGTATTTTAATTTTTATTAGGGCTAAAATATTTCCATATATGCTTTGAGAGCTTATCTTTGACTCATCTCCAAGTGTTTGAAGATGTTCCTTTTCTTTCTTCCATTAATTTCTAATTTAACTCCATTAAAGTCAGAGAACATACTCTGCATGATTTAAATTCTTTTAATGTGTTAAAGTTTATTTTATAACACATTATATGATTTATTTTGGTGAATATTCCATATACATGTAAAAGGATTATGTATTCTGTCAAGGCACAGTGAATTACAGCTGTAATCCCAGTGTTTTGGGATGCCAAGGTGGGAGGATTTCTTGAGTCCAGGAAGTTTGAGAGCGGGCTGGGCAATAAAACAAGACCCCATCGCTACAAATAATAATAATAATAATAAAAAATTTTAAATTAGCCTATCATGGTGGCGGGTACCATATCTACTTGGAAGGCTAAGGAAAGAGAATTATTTGAGCCCAGTATTTCAAGTCTCCAGTGAGCTATGATCAGGCCACTGAACTTCAGCCTGAGTGATAAAGCAAGACTCTTTCCAAAAAAAAAAAAAAGTGTATTCTTTTGTTGTTGTTAGAGTAGTGTATAAATATTTATCAGATTTAATTGGTTTATGGTGCTATTCAGTTACCCTACATTCTCACTGATATTCTGTCTGATAGTTCTATTGATTACCAAAAAGAAGGAATATTGAAGTGTCCAACTGTAATAGTGAACTTACCTATTTCTCAGTTCAGTTTTGTCTTCCTGAATTTTTGCTTCCTGAATTTCAGTTTTTGCTTCCTGAATTTCAGAACTCTTGTGTGTGCCTACACATTTTGAATTAGTACATCTTCTTGGAGAATTAACTCTTTTTTTCATTATGCAATGCTTATGTTTATCCTTGGTAATTATATTTGTCCTGAATTTTATTATCTGTGATGTTAATATAATCACTCTATCTAGTTTTCTTTTGATTGACATCTATATGTTATATTTTTTCCATTTTTTTTTTTTTTGACATGAAGTCTTGCTCTGTCACCCAGGTTGGAGTGCAATGGCACAGTCTCGGCTCACTGAAACTTCCATCTCCCAGGTTCAAGCAATTCTCCTGCGTTAGCCTCCCAAGTAGCTGGGATTACAGGCACCTGCCACCACGCCTGGCTAATTTTTGTATTTTTAGGAGAGACAGGGTTTCACCATGTTGGCCAGGCTGGTCTCAAACTGCTGACCTCATGATCCTCCCCCTTCGGCCTCCCAAAGTGCTGGGATTATAGGTGTGAACCAAAGTGCCCTGCTCTCTTCCATTCTTTTACTTTAAAATCTAAATATATCCTTAATTTGAAGTAAGTTTCTTGTGAAAAACACATCCAGAACAAACAGGATGTACTTATCTTCTGTGGAGACAAGTCCAAGATCTGCAGTCAGCAAGCTGGAGACCCTCAAGAGCTATTGGTGTAGTCCCAGTCCAAATTCAAAGGTCTAATAAACAGGAAAACTGATTTCTATGGAATGGACTGAGTTGCATCTCCTCAAATTCATGTGTTCAATCCCTAACCCTCAATGTGATGCTATTTGGAAATGGGGCCTTTGTAAAGTAATTAGGGTTAGATAAGCTCATGAGGATGGGCCCTTATGATGGCATTAGTACTGTTATAAGAAGAAAGATCATAGAGCTTGCTTCTTTTCTCTTTTTCTCTCTCTACCATATGAGAACACAAGAAGACAGCCACCATCTACAAGCCAGGAAGGGAGCTCTCACCGGGGAACAAAATCAGTTGGCACCTTGATCTTGGACATTGCTGCCTCCAGAATTGTGAGAAATAAGTTACTATTGTTTAAGCCACACAGTCTATGGTATTTTGTTATAGTAGCTTGAGCTGACTAATATACTAATGGTGTAGTTGCAGTTCAAGTCTTGATGCCTGAGGACTAGAAGAAACAATGGTGTAGTTCCATTTAGAAAGCTGACAAGCTCTAGAGCCAGGAAGAGCCAGTGTTTCAGTTTGAGTATATTTTTTTTTACTCAATATATATATTTGTATTTTTTGTAGACATGTGGTTTCGCCATGTTGGCCAAGCTAGTTTCAAACTCTTGACTTCAAGTGATCTGCCTGCCTCAGCCTCCCAAAGTGCTGGGATCATAGGCATGAGCCACCACGTCCAGCCTATGTTATATTGACTTATATATTATACCTACAAACATTGAGAACCTTTTCAAAAATGTTTTAATTTTTCTTTCAACTGTGAAAAGTATTTTAAAACTGAAGAGGTATATATAGTCTATTATATTTATTGATATCTTTATCATTTCTGTTTCTTTATCTTTTTTCAAGTTGTTTTTTGCTTCTGATCAAATTTTCCCTCTTTGTGAAGAATTTCTTTTCACAATTATTTTAGAGCAGGCCTTCAGATAATGAATTATCTTAGTTTCCCTCCACTTTAGATGTCTTTATTTCATCTTAATTCTTGAAGAATATTTTCATGGGATACAGAATTCTAGGGTGATAGTTCTTTTCTTTTTAGCATTTACACTTCCCCTAGCCACCATGGATTCAGATGAGATTTTCACAATCATTCAAATCATCATTCTGCTCCAAGTAGTACATCATTTTTCTCTGACTGATTTGAAAAACTTTTCTTTGTGTTTGGTTTTCAACTATTTGATTATGATCTGTCTGGTCCTGGATTTATTTACATTTATCCTGTTTTGGAGTTACTGAGTGTATTAAAGCTATTGATTTTTTTAAATTATTATTTGAGACAGAGTCTTGCTCTGTCACCCAGGCTGGAGTGCAGTGGCGCGATCTCAGCTCACTGTAAACTCCGCCTCCCGGGTTCATGCCATTCTCCTGCCTCAGCCTCACAAGTAGCTGGGACTACAGGCGTTTGCCACCACACCCGGCTAATTTTTTGTATTTTTAGTAGAGACGGGGTTTCACTGTGTTAGCCAGGATGGTCTCGATCTCCTGACCTCATGATCTGCCCGCCTCGGCCTCCCAAAGTGCTGGGATTATAGGCATGAGCCACAGTGCCCGGCCTAAAGCTGTTGATTTTTATGTTTTACCAAACTTGAGATGCTTTTGGCCATTATATTTTTCAAATATTTCTTCTCATCACACTCTTCTGCTTCTCCTTCTAGAACTCCGATGACATGAATGTTAAAACTTTTGGTATTGTCCCACAGGTCTGTGGGATTAGGTTCATTTATTTTCCAATTAATTTTCTCTTTACTGTTTGAAATGGATAATTTCTAATTATCTATCTTCAAGTTCAGTTATCTTCTACTTTGTCATCTCTATTCTGCTATTGAACCTTTTCAATAATAATGAGGTTTTTCTTATTCCCATATTTTAATTTTTAGTTGTAAAATATATTTTATTATTATTTTGATCTATGACTGTTGATAATTTCTATCATCCTATTCATTTCAAAAAGAGTGTTTGCCTTTACTTCTTGTATTATTTTTCTAATAGCTATTTTAAAGTCCTTGTCAGATTATTCTGATTTCTGTGTCATCTGGGTGTTGGTACATGCTAATTATCTTCTCCCATGACATTAAATATTTTCCTGGTTCTTCCTATGCTGAGAAATTTTGAATTGTGTTCTAGACATTTTAAATATTATGTTATGATTGTCTGGGTCTTGGTTAAGTCCTAAGAAGAATGTTGATATTTAGTTTAGCAGGCAGTCAACTTAGTGAATTCAGGCCCCAAGTTCTGCCTAGCCTTTTGAGGGTTGTGGTTTTAGTGTCAGTTCCATTTTCAAAGTCTTTGAAATGTTGTTTATATCTTTCTATATTTGCTACACCCAGTGGTCAGTCTGAGATTTTGGTGTTGCTCTATGTCTTATTTCTGTTTCCAGAGTTCTTAGTATAATATATAGGGTAAGATTCATGTATACAAAGCTCAGGGGTGAGGCCAAGAGTTTGTAAGCAACTTCATGTGTTGTCTTCCCAAATTTCTCTCTCTCCATTGATGTCCCCAGTAATTTCTGTCCAGAAAGCTGAAGATTTCATGATCCTTCTCCATTGTGCACTTTCTATTACTGCAGCTTCATCGAGGGTCAAGCAGCAGGAGGGCAGAGAGATAAAAAAGAAACAGAGATTTGCCCATCCCCCTTGAAACTACAGCTCCTGTGGCTGGAGAGGAAGGTTATCCTCCCTCAGAGCAGTAAAGCATGTCCCTTGTGACACTGTTGCTAACAGGATACTCCTATCCCACAAGTCTGAACCAGAGAGTTTCTCTTGGAGCTTTCTCTATCCATGCTAATGCCCACTTCCAAGTTTCAGAATGTGTTGGGTCAAGGTCAGGGAGTTACTGGAGGGGAAAAACATGCATGGTAAACTCACCACTAGTGGTTGATTCCAAATTTTGGTATTCTCCAATTTGTCTGCTGTTTACTTTTCATAGTCCTTAGATAGCTACTCCATGCATTCTCTCAAAAATTAATAGCTGTATTCAATGATAGATAAGGATGAAGTGTGCTTACTATGTGTTGCTCAGAATCAAAAACCATGGTTAAGTTTTGAAACCAACTTTATGACCTGTTATATATGGAACTATGCAATGCTAAAATGTGCCAAACTGGAATTTTATTTAAGCTGTGGTAAGTTTGCTCTTCATTTTAATATAAGATCCTTAATATAAGATTCTTTACTATAAATATAAGCTATTTCTAAAAACCCAGATCCAATTTAGTTATGTAATTCAAGAAATATTTATAGAACAGCTACTTTAAGCAAGGCAGTTTACTTGCCACTACAAGGTATAATGCTATTTCACATTTGTCAGGGGCAAAACCAGTTGTGTGGCAGTATAGAAGCCAATATACAATAGATTCCCCATTGTTATTATGGCAATTCTTTCAATTAGGAAGATCCAACCATATTTGTTATCTTGCTAATTTTAGCCTTGTGTCCTTAACTCAGCAGGCAGTCATGTTTATAATACTAAGAAAAATATCATTTTGACAGATTGATAAGCAATTTCTTCAAAACTCTGTGTTAGGCCTATTTTTCATCAAATTGTTGAAAAGTATTCATATTTTACCTCCCTGATCCATGACTCTATTTTGGTATTCAATTATACAATTCAGCTGCTTCCTTCTTAAGGAGTGGGAAGCTGAGTCATCTTTTGCCATATCATTAAAGATTATTTTCCTGAACTATTGTGAATATTATTAATTGGTTTATTTACTATTTTTGTGAAAAATATTAGCAAATTCAACATGTGAGCAGTCTTTATTAACCAAGCCTTCAAAAACCAGACAAAATAAACAAAATCCTTAGGAAGATTTCTTGATGAAAGCAACAGAGATTTTTCTTCTTATCAGCATATTTAGAACTACTTTTTGGCTTAAGGATGAAAAAGGCTATTATCAGGAATCAATAACTGGAAAATAACTGATGAATTGGAGAATGACAGTAATATTCAATATGCTGGTGTTATTGCCAAGTCTGGCATTATTAAAGCAAAGTTCTGCCCAGAGGAAGTATAACAGTATGTTAAACAAAAGTCTCTGAATGCTTTAGAAATAAAATATGGGCGTATGTAACTAAGGAGTTTATTAAGGCAATAAATGTCTTTTACTATAGATTGAGAAGGTTAAACTTTCCCCAAACTCTGTCCCTTAGGAATGAAAAGACTCTAAAATCAAATAGATCAGAATAAAAATCTGTCTGTAATTAATTCCGGTTTTGAAATATTGGCCAAGTTTCTTGGTTTCTCTAAGTCTTGGTGTATTCATCTATAAAATGGGGATAATAATAAAATTTACTTCATAGTGTTGCTATGAGGATCAAATAATATAAGAAGAAAACTTAATGACTGGCACATAATACTCAATAAATGGTCATTATTATCACTAATAATGATAGAGCTCAGTATGTTTTCCACACAGAGAGATTAAATCTTTAAGAGTCATGGATATATCTGGGGAAATATCTCTATGAGTCATGTATGTGGCAATGTGATTTATTTGTTTATTTTAAAAATCTTTTTATCATCTTTGTGGAGCAAGGTATGTATGAATTCTGAGGTTTCCAGAATTCCTTAATTAGAAGGGACAGCAGTCCAGTGAAGTTGTGTTTCTGTCCATTCATACTATTCCCTGCAATGCCTGTTTATTAACTTTTTCTTCACTCATTTATTCAATTGGCATTAATTTACCCCCCCAAATGCCAGGTGTCATATTAGGCACTTTAAATAAATAAATGATGAATACACAGCCCTTATCTTTGAAGGATACCCAATCTTTGGCAGAAAAATACGCGCTGACAAAAAAATTACAGTAGTAAACTGTAGCCATTTTGTATCTGCTCATGAGAACCAACTACTAACAATCCAGGAATTTTGCAAGCTGGTTGTTAAACATTGACATAACTAAAAAATTAAATTGTGTAAACTTAAAATTAAATAATTTATATTAAAAATACAGGTAATAAATATTCAAATTCATCACTTGAACATTATTTTACTGCAGTATTCATTATTATTTTACTACTATCTATGCTTTTGAGTTTATTTACATCCATTATTTCTATATGCTTAAAATCCTGTGTAATATTTTCCTACTGCACATCTCTTTCCAGTTCCACATTTTGTTATATCACCGTGGTTACTTGAAATCAGCCATGTTTGATTACTAACACCATGGAATTTGGCAAACATGGGAATCTAGGACTTTTTTCCCCTCAAATTACGTATGTTAGACGTTACCAGCATAATATTGAAACTAATTATAGCACACTGCTATATGTGTCATCAGAAAGTAATGACATCCTGTGGGAATACGAATGATGTGAGCAATGAACCCCTGATTGCAGAAATCAAGAAAGGCTTCATGGAGGAGTAAATGTTTGAATTAACTTTAGGGAAAAATTGGCACTTTACAACTCCAAGGAACAGAAAGGGTCTTTGAAAACAGTGACAGACTGTATTACTGTTCTAAGCTATTCACTCCCCCTTCTTGTTTTAGATCACTTTCATTGCTTTTTGACTTATTACACATTTACTATGAGCAACACTGTTAAGTTCTTCATACATATAAACGTATTTAATTCTTACCAAAAAAAAAAAAAGAAAAAACAACTATGAGGTAACTATTACAATATTTCATTTTAACAAATAGAAATCTTAAGCACAAATAAGTTAACTTACCCATGATCAAACAGCTGCAAAGTGTGGTTAAGATTTCACAGCCTTACTCCTTATCACTGGGTCACCCTCCCTCATTCATACTATTAATACTCTATGAAGGGCCAAGACATTCAAACTGTGAATAGAGCATTCTTTTCTTTCTAAGGGCCAACATGTCCTCTTTTTTAAAAGGATCACAGTGTTGCTTTAATCTGGGGAAATTTCTTTTCCATTTTAAGAGATGTATCACTTTTGAAATTACTGCTAGCTCTAATCAAAACCACCTACTTAGAGGATCTCTTTTCAGGGGGAATAGGGTGCTATTTTGTTTGTTTTGTTTTATTTCTTTGACTTAAAATGTTCCCTTCAAGAATACTGGAGATTAAACATTATTAATTTGCTAAAGATCCATCATGTTAATACAATTATAATACTTGTGAGGAGAACAGTCAATTTTTTGAAAGAGAGCTACCATCTTCATGTTCATTTCAACAAATTAGAACCAAAGGTGCTTTCTTATCAAGAGTGTGTACCCTCTGGTTGAACATTTCCTTCACTTCAGTTTAGCTTTTCTTAGGATCTCCTTCACTTCTTCCCCCTCCAAACGTTCTTATCCCTCACATTATCTAAATTGATATAGGGTAAAATGGTGTTTACTAAGGTGAAACATGAACAAGAACAGAGTTTTCCAGAATTTTTTTTCTTTTTAGAGCAAAATTCTTTTTATATAGGAGTTATCTCTATCTTTGAGACCTGCCACCTGATAATGAATAGAAGTTTATTGAGAGTTTACATATATCCGTACTAGATTTCACTCACTGAGCTTTCTTTAATATAAACAAGCATAGAATTTAGGAATTATGCTAAAGAAAAAATACCATAAAGGATGGAATAACTTGTCCTGATGATTAAATTTAGTTCTAAGTCTTTGGTTTAAAAATTGTTTTTAATATCTCTGTTTTCATAATTGGTCTAGTAGAAGACACTAACCTCTTTTATTTCTTTATAAGCTCACATCTTTCTCAGTCATATTTTATGTATACATACATACACACACACACACACGAAAGTGCACTTTATTTTTTATTCAATTGTTACTTTAGCAGTGTCTGCAATTAAGAACCAGCTTACAAAATGAACTGTAATTATTGCAAATTGTGGTAAGCACCAGTAATTAAAATGTTGCAGTAGTGCTAGCCAGCTTTGCTACATGCCCTTTGAGAGAAGCATAAAATGATATTATGTCTTTAACTGGTATTTGTATTACAGACGAGAAAACCTGGAAATTCAGGCCTTTAGAATCCTTTGGCTGAGACTTTAAAGCACAATGTGAAGTGGGTTAACAGTTATACAGTGAATTCAAACTGGGAAGATAGTCAATTTGGTTAATTCCACAATGAAAGTGGCTTATTCTTTCAAATGTGCAATCTTTAGGGCATAAACATACATGGCTTCCCCATGGGGGGAAAATGAACAATAAATTCTAATCTCTTCTTTGTGTTTTCAGGATGTTAATAGTGAGCCTTCCGGGTACAAAAGCAAGAGGGAACTCCTTCAGTACATACCCATCTTTTGAGGATCCTCACCCAGCTGCTACCCCCAGTGAACCCTCCAGCTGTGTAGTCATTTGGCAGGGTGCACTGTTATGCATAACTTAAAGCTATGTGTGTGTGACTCTAAAACAACTGGTGAATACAGATTGTTCACATGAAAACCCCCAAATGATCTGCAAGTGAAAAAAAAAATGTAAGCAATGATTTGATGACCATGAAAATGACCCAAATTTCAGATTTAGCATTGGCTGACTCTATCCATCACCAACATATTTATTTGTTTCTTATCTGCCTTTGCTCTAGGTAACCCAAAAATGCTATCTGGTTAGCCAAAAAGTTGTGACTTAGAGAAATATATGCTAATATGGATCATATATTAATTAATGCAAATAACATCAACAGCTATGTAAAAACAGAGCTAATAAGTACTGTGTTTTATAAGATTTAAGTACAATAAATCTACATAAGGTTCTCAGAAACTACAGAGACCTGGGGTAAGGAAAAAATAAAGTCAGGAAGTAAGGTGAAGAGCAGACATTTGCCATTCCATGATGCTGAAACTATTCAGGTCACCAAAAACATTCCAAGTACAGAAACCAATGGACAGGACTTCTGGTCTTGGCTAGGACAGATTATTGGATATGGGAATAATCTTCCCACCATAGGCATTTGTGTATCTAGGCAAAATGTAAAAATCAGCTGATTTGAGACATTGTACGACAGACAATACCAGGGAATTGATTTTTTTTAACTTTTAAATTCAGGAGTACATGTGCAGGATGTGCAGGCTTGTAACATAGGTAAACTTGTGTCATGGGGTTGGCTGTACAGATTATTTCATCACCCAGGTATTAAGGCTAGTATCCATTAGTTATTTTTCCTGATCCACTCCCTCCTCCCACCCTCCACCCTCTGATAGGTCCCAGTGTATGTTGTTCCCCATGTGTCCATGTGTTCTCATCATTTAGTTCCCACTTATAAGTGAAAACATGCGGTATTTGGTTTTCTGTTCCTGTGTTAATTTGCTAAGGATAATTGCCTCCAGCTCTATCCACGTCTCTGCAAAGGACATGATTGCATTATTTTTTATGGCTTCATAGTATTCCATGGTGTATATGTACCACATTTTCTTTATCCAGTCTATCATCGATGGGCATTTGGGTTGATTCCATGTCTTTGCTATTGTGAATAGTGCTGCAATGAACATACATGTGCATGGGATTAATGGGTCGAATGGTATTTCTGTCTTTAGGTCTTTGAGGAATTGCTGCACTGTCTTCCACAATGGTTGAACTAGTTTACATTCCCACAAGCAGTGGATAAGTGTTCTTTTTCTCCACAACCCCACCAGCATCTGTTATTTTTTGACTTTTTAATGATAGCCATAATAAAAGGGAAACACCCCTAATTTGCTTTACATTCACCCCAGAATTCAGCCTGGGGATATTTTTCACATTTCAGCACATGGAACTAGAGTCCAAACAGAAAGCAGTGGTCTTTCCAGGCAGACAAAAAAAAAAAAAAAAAAAAAAAAGGCGATGGGAGTTCGGGAATACCAAAGTTGCCAGAATTTGTAGAGTACTAGAAAGCAGAGAGCAACATAGAGAAGGCACCTCAGGCATCGGCAAAAGGGTCCCCTTCAGTCATTGGCCAAATAATGTGCTATATATACACAAGGCTTGAGAAACCACTTACTGAGGGACTGTGAGATGAATTGCAGAGAGTACTTAGTGCTAAACAGGTTGGAGTGAGACTACTCACCGAAAAACCCAATTATTCTATTGAGATCCTAGAAAGTCATTAATGGTAGGTCAAGTCTACCCCTAAAGTAAGGGATCTAGACCAATTGTAACAAAGCCTGAAAGTAAGCCTCAACAGGATCAAGTTGAGCTGCCAGCAAATTGACTGCCTGCTAGAGCAAATCTCAACATTTTAAAAGAAGACATTATAATTTACACTGTAAAAAATATAGTATCCACAATATGCAAAATTCAATAAAAATTTACTAGATATACAAAGAATAATTTTACAATGTAACTCATAGCCAGGAGAATTTGAGTGAATAAAAACAAACCCATGCATAACCCAGATATTGGAATAAGCACACAGTGACTTTAAAATAGTTATTATAGGCAAGGTGCGGTGGCTCACGCCTGTAATCCCAACACTTTGAGAGACCAAGGCAGGCGGATCACAGGGTCAGGGGATCGAGACCATCCTGGCTAACACGGTGAAACCCCATCTCTACTAAAAATACAAAAAATTAGCCGGGTGTGGTGGCAGGTGCCTATAGTCCTAGCTACTTAGGAGGCTGAGGCAGGAGAATGGCGTGAACCCAGGAGGCAGAGCTAGCAGTGAGCCAAGACTGCACCACTGCACTCCAGCCTGGGTAAAAAGTGAGACTCTGTCTCAAAAAAAAAAAAAAAAAAAAAGTTAATATAAATATATTCAAGGATTTTTTAAAAACAGATAATATGTGAAATGATGGGAAATCTCAACAGAGAAATACAAACTAGGAAAAGAAAACAACAAGTAGAAATTTTAAAACTGAAAAATAATATAATTGTAGTAAACATCTCAAATGCATGGGCTTAACAGCAGAGTGGATATTGTATAAGATCAGCTAATAAAACTGTCTAAAGCACACAGAGGAAACCACTGAAACAGTGAGTTAGGGCACAGTGTCAAGGGTCCAATACGCATGTGATAGGACAGGAGACAGGAAATGACAAAAGCAATCATGGTGAAAAAAATCTGAGCACTGCTCAGCTTTGTGTGGGAGGAATTGACTGGAAAGGAACATGAAAGAACTTTGGGGAAAGACAGAAGTATTTCATATTTTGATAAGTATGTAACACAATTGTATATACTTGCCAAATTTCATTGAACTACATACTCTTAGAGTCTGTTCTTTCTATTGATTGTAAATTATATCTCAATAAAAAATAGAAGAAATCCGAGGGACAATGACCATCAGTTAGTATCATTACCTGATCTAAGCACGAAAATACTGGCAATTACCTTGTCATTCATGAAATCTTGTATAACTTTAGCTCTCACTTTAACAAACTGTTAGTTTCATCTCCTCCCTTTCTGCTTTTTTACAGCCTCTTTCAGTGATCCTTTTCTTCATCCCACTGTTAAACATTCATATTTCTAAGTTTATGTCCTTTTCCATATTTTATCCCTACTTTATGCATTCTTTCAAGGCCTAGGATATGCACAATGCAGGTGTTTAGTGTTTGAGAGATTGACGAACAAATGGACATATAAATGAATAGATGGGTGGGTGGATGGATGGATGGATGGATGGCCAGCTAAATAATGAGTACTCTCCTGGCTATCCAGTCATTCAATTTATGTGCCAAGTACTCTTCTGGGTGCTGAATATACAATTTTGATCAAAGCAAAAAAAAATCCTGTTTTCTAATGTTTACATCATAATGTTTGTAGTACAATCTTGGTTCAACTGTTAAGTTCAGACTCACATAATTTCTCAAATAAGGGCATACCTACCTTCAATTTGTACCCTCTAAGTCAATGCCAGAGTAAAATTACTAAGATTTATATATGATTTGTTACTTCTATATAAAATCTTTTTGATATTTAATGTCCATGTGTTTATGCACACTTTTTGGCATGTTCAACCACATCCTACCTTAACATTCTATGTTCTAGTCATATAACAGTTTTGCTGTTCACCACTCTCACTGTGTGTTTTTACATAAGGTGTTCATTCAGTCTAGAATGTCTTCTTTCCAACTACCACCCTCAGTGTTACCTATCACAATTCTCATTCATTTCCCAAGACTGCTTAAACGGTCTCATTGATATTTTCTTGACCTTCCAGACAGAGTTAAGGTTTTCTTCTTAAGGGTTTTTTCAGTCCTCCCTAGTTCTCTGTGTATAGGTTTGTGTCTATAAGCTGGGTGTTGGTACAGGTTACCCTGCCATAAACAAAGCATGCAATGACATGTAAGAAAGAATACAGTAGAAAAATTAGGGGTATTTGGTATTATTACCAAATAAGGCACTGGGTATCCACAAAATCAAATTCATGAGGGAGCAGAGGGAAGAGTAGAATATAAGAAAACAGAAGTGGGATCCAGTGTTCCTAAGCAAAGATCTCTGAGGACAGTCTGCAGCCAGCTATCAGGTACAACAGGCTGGGCTCCTCATCCACACCCAGGTCCCAGGGATAGATGAAGGAGCACCTATACCTTTCAGGGTGGGGTACAAAAAGCCTACAAACCAATAGCTGGCTGATCAAAATTTTTACAAAGATCATTAATGACCAAGAACACTGGGAGCGAGGAATATTTTTTGCCTCAAACACAGAAAACTCATGACAAATTTTGACTTCTACTGAATCCTCAGCAGGCCACAAGAATAATGTTACCATTGAATTGGCTATGTAATATAGGCAGCTGATATGGGCTAGTTTGGGAACATAGGCTGATACTTTCTCTCAAAAGGAGCTTGTTTTATTTGTTGTAGTAAACTTGTTTCTCCATTTAGGCAATGAGGCCCTCAAAGGCCATGTTAAGTTCTTCTCTACATCTACTACCATGGATGGCTTATTGTAGGCACTAAAAATTGTCTTTTAATAATAAATTAACAGTTTCCTGCAAGTAGAACAGTATTCACAAAAAGCTTTCTTTAGTCCTTACACATTCATTCTTTGTTTGGAATTGTGATAAGTTTTGTTGCCATGAGAACACATTGCCAATTAAAATTTTGTTGAGAAAATAAAGATGTCACATTCAAATATCAAATAAATAGGTCACCTCAAACTCAACTAATAAGTTTTGTAGTGCATAGATAAATAATCTTTCTCTATTCTATTTTTTCATATCACAAATGATTATTTTAATATCATTTATAATTATTATCCAAATGCACAAAGTCATTTTTCACCCATGATAAGTGGAATGGACTTCCTAGACATTTCAAAGCAGTTCCCATGCCATTCAGTAGCATACAGATTCAAGGAGGTATTAACAGATGCATCACATGAAAATAAGTTAGCCATCCTGATCTCTCTCAAAGATTCTCAATGCATTTTTACATACTAAAGGCTCCAAGAAGTCTATGTGGGGAGAGATTGAATTTTAACTCACAGATCTCCAAACAGTTTATCACAACACACTTCTTTTATGACAAATTATCAGCCTTTGGAACACTGCTTTCTGAGGATAACAGTTTAAGATATTTCTTCTGAAAAATAATAGCTGTTTTCTTCTAGGAAGACATGGAAATATATATAGTGAAATTATAATAGACTTTGGAATTAGAAGCTATAGGTTCAAATCACCCAAACTTGTTGTGACTCTGTCATCCTGGAAAAGTTCTTTAACTTCTCTGAAGATTATAAAGACTGTCTCACAGGTATAAACTGCTCAATAAATACTGGTTTTATTTTTCTCACTTTACAACACCTCCCATATTCTGATAATGGACCAAGTACCGGGCTGTGGGCCCAGCTGGGGGTTAACATCCTTTAAACAAGTGGTGAGCCTAGCTTGTAGCACCTGTTCTTCTCGTGAGCCAGGTGGGGCATAGTGATATTGAGACTAGCAAAAGATAAGTGGGGAAGTGGTTATTCCACCCACACATTCTCACATGTTGCAAAATGCAGCTGGTGATTATTCTCTCAAGAGGAGTCTACTAGCATGAATGCCAATGAAAATAAGTCCTTGGGTCCTGTTTGGCACGTGTGCCTTAATTACTGACCCCCTACTCTAGGGAGGTCAACAAGAAAGAAGGTCTCTTCTTTTCTTTGCAACGGTATGAAAATGAAACAATCATAAAATCTGGCAGGAGAGTTAAGGTTAATAATTTTCAAAGAGAGTACTTGGAGGTTTCTTTACACTATAAGCACTATATAATCAAAAGTTTTCTTTTTCTGTATTAAACTATTCAATGTTAGTTATAGATCAAAATATTAAGTGTGTATTAAAACTTTTGCATTTTATAAAGTCATGAATAGATATGTTTTCCACAAATTTTAAACAGATGAAGCTTTAACCTAAGAACCTTTTTTATTAGTTTCTTCATTTTAGTTTATCCTAAGAAACGAATAACTAGTAGAGCACCGACAAACATTTTGGTGAAAGGGGTATCCCTGATTAAAATAGAGCTTCAGCTCTCTATGGACACATTGTTCACCCTCTCCCTATCTCACCCCCACCCTACCTACACTCCATCCCAACCCATGGCAAACTATAAGCCAAAACACATACCATGTAAGCTGTTTCTCCTTTAGAACAAACTTCCTTGGTCAGATTTCCTCACAAATTGGTTATATCTTCAGAAGAATTACAGCAAATTGAGGAATACAAATTGAAACCCACAAAAGACTGAAAATTAAATGTTTAAAAATAAAACTACATTTTTTTTCTTGGAAATCTAGAGGAATGTCACAAGATTCAGAACTCACATATTTCTAGGGACTAATTCTGTGGTTGAACCTAATGTCAGCTATATTATGGTTGGTTGGGTGACTCCAGGAGGAATGAACACCTGAGTCAGGAAGATGCCCAGCAAACTCTACAAATGAAAGGCAACACAGCAGCATCATGCATTCTTTTTTTCTCTTTCTCTTTTTTGTAATAAGAATGTGAAGTAGTTCCAGATGGTGTGCAAGTGGCCAGACTCAAACAAGTTACTAAGCTTGTTGGCATGAAAGAAGCTGCTTAGTGGTGACATACAAGTACAGAATCCCCACAGTCCTGCTTCCTGGTGAAACTGGAGAAAACAAACCAACAATAGAGAAATGAGTACTGTAATTTATCTTGGAGGCCAGTTAGGTTGTTTATCCCAAACTACATTTTGATTCCAGTTACAGTTTAATTATGAGTATTTGTTCTCTAACAGAGACTAAACAAAGGGTAACTATTTTCTTTTATCTTTTTCTTTGTTATGAAAATTTCAGTTTCATGTTTGCCTATCCTCTCTCTTTAAATAGTATCTTATACTATGTGAATGCATTCAGCCCAATTTCTTCCCATTTGCATGAAGTTTCTAAAATAAACAATAAGATCAGAAGTTTTTACGTATAAGAAATGCATGACTTAATAATGCCTTATGTATTTCTGTAAGCTTTTATTGCATCTATTTAACAAGTCCCTTTGGTTATAAAGGAGACACTACCATGTATCTCTGCCATCAAACTATTGACATAAAGTTTCAGACTCGGGGAAACCCACCAAGTCAAGTTACCCACTCCAGTAGCTACTGTCAAGATGTTTTTGGTTTTGACCATGAAATGGGAAGTTATAAATATATGAAAGGCATGTGGGTGATGTTCATTCTCTTCTGTGTGCCTCATACAGCTCTTCTCCCAGGGCAGCAGTAGCTGGGATTTGTCTTCTTGGTTTCAGATCACATATGCTCTTTACAAAAGATATTCAGTATTTGCTTTTGCAACTGTTCAAAAGTTACTTTAAGTGCATAATTTTTATCAATTATATTGCCAGGAGGTTTTTTCCTTCTATCTAAAACACCCTGCACTATGCTCGCTGCTACTTTTTATGGTGGGAAATTATGTTTTCCCTCTGTAGCTGTAGATGGACTCCCTGAAACTTGCTAAACCATCTCTGGGTTCTGTCTAAATTGTATTGATAAGGAGTGTTTGTAACACCTCTATTTTTGCAGAAAAAGATACTTCCAGATTGGGTTGGAGCAGAAAACAAATCCTATATTGCTAAAATTAATAATAATACTGGATTAATTTAAAGTGTTTAAATAAGAAACAAACTTTCACTATAATGGTCCCCAAATTTTTATATTTAATTCATATTTACTACCATGAGAGTAATACATTTTAATTGTTTTCATCTAACTTTTGCATTATTGATCAGTTTTTTTAAATGAACTTTCCTTTATCTACATTTTGGACCAATTCATTGTTTTTTGACCGTTCTCCTAAAAGATCTTGTTTTCATTTCAGTCTGTGTTTTAGTTGGTCTAGCTTTTTATTTTCTCATGAACCTTTTCTATTTCAGTTCAGATCAACTAGGATTGCCACATAGTTTTAACAAAAGCTATCAGGGACAGACAGTTGTAAAAAAAATTGAACAAAAAAGAAATTAGCAGAATATTAGTTTATCAGTGATAATCCACATGTCCTTCTACATGTAACAGTAAATGTACATTGTATTAAGTTGATGTTGTTTTTCAAAAATCCATCTTTGGTCTTTGAACAATTAAAGGTATTTTAAAACTTTTACTCAATGTTCAATTCTTACTGATCCAACTTCAAACTTTTCTGTCCATAGTCCATATGTTTTACACTATACCACAAATTGTTAAGCAAGAGGGGTTGAGGTCATTCACTTTTGAAAAAAATAAAATAATAAAATCAATCTCAATTTTGTTATTTACAACCTGTAAGATGTTCAAGTCACTTAAATATCTAAGTATCAGTTTTCCAACATTAAAATAGAAATAATAATATTTATCTTATAGGTTTATCATGAGAACTACAAAATGCAAATTTATAAACATATAATTTATAAATTAGATATATGGAGAAAATAAGCAGATCATGATAATTTTGGTTTTTAAAATATTTTTATTTCCATGCAATAATTTGACACAGAAATTGAATGAAAATATTTAATACATTGAAGTTTTTTAGACAGGAGATAGTCTACTGAAAATGGTTTGTAAATTAGCAAAAGTTATTATCTTTGCAAGAAAGTGAACATCAAACTTAGGCACTGACTTCTTGAAAAAATGTTACTTAAAGGGTCTTTTTGTTCCATGGTGACAGCTATAAGATTTTAATATAAATATTGAAAGAAGGAGTTGTCTCATAATTTATCAACTTGAAACATTGAAGTACTATAGTTCAAAACTTTGAAAGGAAGTCATTTTTCCAGATATCTGAGGCTCTTTGTTCACATTTTGGGCTTCATAGATATTAACCACATGAAACAAAGGTAATTTCTTCTACAAAGTAATGTAACACTTAATTTGAAATATATTTCCTAAGAAATTTCAGAATGAAAAAAATAAGAATCTACTTTGAGATTATAAGAAAGGTGAAAAGTAATATTGAACAACTCTTTCTCAAAGCTTATTTTTAAATAAATTACTCTGCATTTACTCAGTGTAGGCATATGCCACCAAACTACTGTCAGCTCATAAACATTCAGAACTCTGCTGTTTGATTTACTGTCAGGTACTCACAAGAGCACCCTCACTATTGCACCAGCAAGACTCTCACTGTTACAGTCAATAAGTAAGTTAATATAGTAGGTCAAAATGCAGACCTAGAGCTGGAAAGCACATCTCAAAACATGATTATAATACAACTTACTTAATTAGACTATATTACTTGCTGGAAATACAGTCTCTAGAAAAGAGAGCTTACTATCTAGGCCATCTGGTTCAAAAGTGGTATTTGGTGATTCTTAATTGCAGCAACCATTTATCAAGTGCTGATCAGGAACCAGGCAAGGCACTGGGGACCCACACTGAATTGAATACAGTTGCCTGTTCTTAAGGATATCACTGCCTCTGATGACAGATTCATAGCAAACATTTGTAATGTACTGTGTTATTATGGAAAATGTGTATGTTCCATGGAGACACAGTGGAGATTATCTATCCCAATCTCTCCTGCAATATCTTATGCAACAAGGTACAGAGGAGATGACATGGTCAGGAGGGACATATAAACAATAAAGGGACAAAGCAACAGCTTCATAACTGAGGGACAAAGTTTGCTTCAATTATAAGCTTTCATTTAGTGAGCAACAGGGATCAATACCTAAGCAGGATTGACTTGAGCATGGCAAGTAATTGACTGAGCATCTTTGGACTTCGATAAAATGGAAAGGAAGATGTCAAGTGTAAACAAGCTTGCCTTTTGTTTTCCAGAGAGTGGTTTTGCTGCTCCCCTACCAATAGTTTGAAAACAGATTTTTGAAGCACCATGTCTGTTCAGCATCTCTTGGTTTATCCTTCTCTTTGAACTAAGAGTTATTATAAAGAGTTAATATGTTTCTCCTCATTCTAATTCCTTGTCTCTGTTTGCTACATGTAGATTGTCTCTTCTTTTTAAATGTAATGAATGAAATATATTTCACATTTATGAATAAAACTATTCCTGATGGACTTTACGTATTTTAAAACGTGTCTTAATGGGGATGCATTTGAAGTGTATTCTTACCCTACAAAGAACTGAAATGGTAGTAATTTGGCTACATACAGAACTCATTTTATGTTGCCAGATCTTTACAGCCTCCTCAAATTGTCAACAGGAAATGGGAGTTCCTTGACCACAAAACCATTGGAATTAATAGTATTTTGAGAGTACAGTGAATGGGATTTCCTAATGTCTCTTCTCAGAGGTTGGCAACTGCAGTGGTGACCAGAATTCTTGATGCTTAGCCCTCAGGCGTGTAACATGTTTCCTGTTCATTATCCAGGAGCCTGAAATTGGTAGTTTCTAAGTTACAATGCAAGAAACATCTGCTTAAAACATTTTTTAGCAGTTGGAAGGAATTTCTCACTGACTGTTATGGTGAGGTCTATTAATGAGATAAAGTTAATTTTTGTCATTCTTTGAATCATGATAATTTCTTCTTAGTGTTTGCTTTATATACTCAGAAACAATTGTTTTTGAATGAATACAAAATAATAAATACAATGTATTAAATAGTATTGGCCATACACCTCAACAAATAGACTACTGTAATCATGAACAACCATTTAGGTTCATAAAAACTGTATCAGTTTGGGTCCTCTAGAAGCAGATACCAAGACAGAATAAGAAACACAAGTAATTCATTGGGGGAATTTTCTGTGAAAGATAAAGCTGAGTGAACAGGAAAGCAGGCAGGGAAGGCTTTCAGACCAGGATGCAGGTCTAACACCTATGATGGAAGATTGGGAAGACAGAAACAGCTTAAATAACAGGAGCCCCAGACTGCTGTACAACTCTAGGAGATTCTTGGCCAAGCCAATGGGGAGCCCCAGAGCAAAAGTTGAGCATTAGTTGGGTGCTGAGTTGGCCAACGAAACCTGGACACTAGCTTCACTACAGTGCTGTGTCATTAACTGATAGAGATTCAGTTATAGTAGGGCCTTTATGAATGCTGCAGTGGATCCTAAAGATGTGGCAGCTGGACGCTGTCCACTAAGTCCTCACAGCAGGTTCTTTATTATGGGCAATCCTGAGCACTGCACAGCCACGGCTGCCACACTGGTCTTTCACAATATTTTGCTTCTTATCATGGAAGTCACACTTGCCAGAAAAAAGCAATTGGGGAGGTTTCAAAAATTACAAATTTCATTACAACGTTATTAATTATTGCCATATTTTCAGTAATTTTGAAAAAATTCAGTTCATTGAAAGAAATGAACTTCAAAGTCTCAATAAAAGTTGTAACTTTAAAATTGATAACTTTGACCTTAAAATGTCTTGGAGAAATTTAGTTTTTCAACACTAACATGAAGTTTGCAAAGATAATTAGACACATTTTGTTTGAGCGGAATTGAGGATCTCATTTTCATTGTGTTAGAAAGAATACAAGTAAGAGTATCATAATCATTAAAACAATTTTGGATGATATTGAATAACTTGTGTTAGGTAGTATGGGAATTATATAAAGGAAACTAGACATGTAGTTTTGTATAGTATGGGAATTATATAAAGGAAACTAGACATGGAGTTTTGTATAACCTATCCTACTGGGAGTCTTCAATTGTACCTTCTGGTACCAGAATATCTTAATAGAGAAGGAAAAAGAAAAGAAAAACATATGATCCATCATATATAGTATACAAAGTACATAACAAAACAGTTTAGAAAAAAAAGTTAATGACAGGAGCAAATACTTAATGGTATTACTAAAGATAATAAAATAGTGAAAAACAGTCTTAAAAGATCCTTCTTATTGCCAAATTTATACACAAATATTTTAACAACCTTATCCCTGAGTATTAGAATTCTATTTCTCTTTCTTTGGGTTTTATATTTGCAAATGATCTACAATAAAGATGTCTGTTTAAAATTTCAACTTTTATTTTAGATCCAGGTGGTACATGTTCAGGTTTATGACATGGATATATTGCATGACGCCAAAGTTTGGGGTAGGAATGGTCTAGTCACTGAGGTAGTGGTCCTACTCATCAATTTTTGTTTTTGTTGCAATTGCTTTTGAGGACTTAGATATAAATTCTTTGCAAAAGCTGATGTCAAGAAGGGTATTTTCTACATTTTTTTCTAGAATTTTTTATAGTTTGAGGAGTTACATTTATGTCCTTAATCCATCTTGGGTTAATTTTTGTATATGGTGAATGTTAAGGGTCCAGTTTCATTCTTCTGCATACAGCTAGCCAGTTATTCCAGCACCATTTATTCAGCAAGATGTTCTTTCCCCATTGCTTATTTTTGTCAATTTTGTTAAAGATGAGATGGTTGTAGGTGTGTGGCTTTATTTGTGAGTTCTCTGTTCTGGGTTCCATTGATCTATGTGTCTGTTTTAGTACCAGGACCATGCTGTCTTGTTTACTAAAGCCTTATAGTATAGTTTGAAGTCAGGTAATGTAATACCTCAGACTTTGTTCTTTTTGGTTAAGATTGCTTTAGCTATTCAGGCTCATTTTAGGTTCCATATAAATTTTCGAAAAGTTTTTTCTAATTCTGTGAAAAATGACATTGGTAGTTCGACAGGAATAGTATTGAAACTGTAGATTCCTTTGGGCAGTATAACCATTTTAGCAATATTGATTTTTTCCAATCCATGAGCATGGAATGTTTTTCCATTTGTTTGTGTCAAGACATATTATTCTCATAATTCTGAGCAACAATACAATATAAATTTTTAGATTTCAGGGTAATAACTAGCAGACAAGTTTATGTACATGAATGCACATACATACACATAAAGAATCACAAATGCTTGCAACACATCAGCAAAAAGTCAAGAGAAGAAAGATATTTGGCATAGAGACTCATTGTGCACCATCTACTTTTCATTGCCCAGACTAAAAGGCTGAAATATATATCTGTGTATCCAGTTTTATTTCAGTGAAGCTTGCGTCTAAAACTGTAAAGATCCTCAAACTTCCAAACTATGATCCTGAGCAAAAGTACCTAACTCTATCTAATTCAAACAAATGGCATTGGCTTTCATGTAGGGACATGTAGTGTCTTACATCATTTTTTTCTTTCATCTACATTGCATTTCCTGTCTTGGTGCTTATTTCTGACTTTTGACTTACCTGTATGTTTAATATGTGCAAAGAAATAGGTTGAAAATGCTAATAAAAGGACATACAGAAAATGTGATTACCATGGAGAAAATAAAGAAATCTTTTTAAGTTATAGCGGGTAGAAGATCACAAATTTGTATAGGATACATTTTTCCAGGGAAGATATACTAATAAAGGACAAAAGCTAAAGAGCTGTGCCTTTGTGATTGAATACAATTTGCAAGAGAGAATTAAGTGCGATCTATAAAAAATATATATTTGAGAGATTGGATGTTCAACATGTGTTTTGGATACTCTTAATATTAATTCAGGGAATTACCTAGGAGTTGGCTCAAGAGTTAAAGGCTAGACCTGGAGAATGTGCCACTGATGATACTTCAGATGCAACTATTAATATAATTTTTTGGTGCTTTGGAATCTGAGCATCCGTTCAGATTCAGCAGCCAGGCCCATTCAATGTTATGCTAAGATCAAGAAGTGGGAGTACATGCTTCACCAGATTATGAAAGTAGGTGAAAGTAATTTGTTCTCGAAAATTGTGTGCAACAGAATTTCTGTCACTAATAAGAAAAGAAATATACTTGGTAGAAAGTGTATTCACAGACCACAAGCCTGTACCTCTGCCAGTCACCAGTGACTCGGGAACAAATGGAGTCATGGGTAGAATCTTTTCTTTAGTAGATAAAGTTATCTCTATATTAGGTAATCAGTTTTCCAAAGTTGAATTTGGGAAACTCCTTGAGAGACAAAAGCAAAAGAAAGTTTAGAAATACAACAGTATTTAATAAGTTGCATTTGTCTTGTCTCTTGTTATAACACAGATCCCCATTATTAATGTAAGTGTACCCAAAGCAATAAATAAAAGCAGCAATGAAATTGAAGTATTCTACATGGATAGCGAGCTCAAAGTAGATTATTAAAGTGATAGCTCCTTAAAACGAGCTAACCCAAACCAAACACAAACATTAAAAATATGAATTTTATAAAAATACAAAAATGCAAATTTTATGAAATATGAAATATGCTGAACTCTTTTTTCAATACAATCTTTCTAATTAAAAATAACTTATATAATTATATCAGTTTTAAAGTTAAGTTAAAGACATAGAAGATACCAGGAATAATTAGGTGATTGAGTTCGTCCGAGTGGAAGTTTTAACCATGTAGAGTCAAAAAAAAAGTTAGATTTTGGATTAGAAAATCTTACTAAGAAGTGTCTCAGCTAAGACATTCTTTCTAGGTCAGTGAATGGTCAAACTGTTGTAATTCTCTCCATGTTGCCTGATGTCATTACTACTTCATCCACAAGAGAAAACCTGCTCCTTAGAGCCTCATATCAAAAAGTTACATAACCTTTTCCTTCCTTTATCTTTGGTCCTAATTTTGCCAAGTTCTCAAAGTTTTCTCTTCATGCATTGAATATTTTAAACTATTTCAGCATTTGTCTTTATGACACCTCCTGTCATCCTCCAGGTAATTTCTGAGTTCACCTGGACATTGCAGCCATTACACCAGTTTCTCTTTTTTGTTAACCTCCTGAAGATCAAATTCCTTAATCACACAGCCACCATTATGATAACCACATCTTTTGACATGATCATCTTCTGAACTGCTCTACTTTTGAAGTCTCCAATTTTTTCTGTTACTTTCTCAGGAACTCTCCACGATTTAAAAAAATTTTTAAAGCTTATGAAAAAATCAGAATATATGTCTTAACAATCTTAAAAGCTATGTGAAAGAATAGATAAATTACTTACAAAGAAATGACAATTATACTGACAGCATCAATAGACACTAGAAACAAATGGAATAGTGTTTTCAAAGTGCTAGGGGAAAATGATTGTCAATTAAACTTCCATGCTCAGAATTAATGAGTGAAGGGGAAATAATGATACCTTTTATACATACAGTGTCTGAGAGTTGTTCTGCTCATAGACTTTACTAAGTGAACTATCATATTTCACTGGATATAAGATGTCAGAAATTATATGTTACACCAATAAAAAATGCTCCTAATTAAATTATGATAGGCTGTGAATTGTATAAGTTTCATCTAAACTACAGAGATGGTAAAATATAAAAACCTGTATCTTAGAATGGATATTTTTAAATCCATGGAGAATTAAATCTCCTCCTTCTTGATGAAGTGGAGAAAATACTTCATCAAGAAGGAATGAATCCAGAAGGTAGGAATAAGATGTAAGAAACAATAACCTGACGATAGCTAATAATAATATCTATATGGCTTAAAAACAAAATTGAGCGAAAACACCAGTGAACAAAAACGTGGAACAGAGGGAAAAGATCATGTTATTGATAAAGTCTATGAACCTTCTATTGTTTGAGGGAAAGGTTAGCAATACTTTGGGCATTGCTAAATGTATTAAACCTTTGAATGGTAAACTAGACAAGAATAGCAAAAAGCATACCATATTCAAGTAGGTTGAGTAAAAATATAGAAATTGTTAACACAACAGAAAACAATAGAACATCTAGAATGATCTAGATCTACACTACAACTATACACAAATCTCAAAAGTATGATAAATAAAAAAGAAACTGCAGTGTAATACTGATAACAAATGCAAATTTTTAGAAATAACATTTAGGGTTAGGGTTAGGGTCAGGATTAGGGTTTGGGTTAGGTGTTAATATAAAAAATTTATACTTATATTATTAGCATTATACTGCAGTTTGATTTTTTCATTTTCTAATACTAAATTATACAATCTATAATATTAGAAATTTAATATATAGATAGTATACAATCTATATTAATTTTAAAATAAATATATCATATATATACATATATATATAGCTTTGTGTGTGTTTGTGTGTGTGTAGAAGACATATAAAAACACTGAACAAAAAGATATTCATCAAATCCATGACAGTGATAGCCACTGAAGATAGAAGGAGAGGGAAAACTCTAAGTTTGTAAGTTTGGAATAAAGGAGATTCAGGTCTATCTGTAATGTTCTATGATTTTTAGTTTGAAAATTTAATGAAATCCTCACAGGACGGTGGTGTTAAACTTTATATGCTGAGACCACAGAGGTTTATTAACAATTTTTCTATATTCTTCCATATTTTGAGCTTTTAACCACAACAATGACAATTATCTTCATCCCTAGACCTGATCCTCTGATTTCCTTGCCCATTTCAGGAAAATGAAAAACTATTGTTTCTCTATCCCAAACTATTCTTTCTCCATCCCATTCTAGCCCTCTTTATTTTATTTGATTTGATTTTTCTCTGCCTATAGTCTTGCTCCTCCCTCCAACAACAAAACTATTTTCCAAATTGGGGCAGGGATGACCTTTTTAAAGGGAAAACTATCTGACATGTACAACCCCAACTTAAACTTCTTTGATGCTCCTCAAGTTCTTTAGCAAAGCATGCAAGGCCTTTAGTAATCTATCCTGGAGAAACTATTAAGAATACTCCTCCTCCCTTTGTACTCCACACTTCAGCCAATCCAGACAACTTGTATGCTTTTAGAAAGGTATAGCTGCAAGTCTTTGCTGTTGTGAATAGTGCCGCAATAAACACACGTGTGCATGTGTCTTTATAGTAGAATGATTTATAATCCTCTGGGTATATACACAGTAACAGGATTGCTGGGTCAAACAGTATTTCTAGTTATAGATCCTTGAGGAATCACCACACTGTCTTCCACAATGGTTGAACTAATTTACACTCCCACCAACAGTGTAAAAGTGTTCCTATTTCTCCATATCCTCTCTGGCAACTGTTGTTTCCTGACTTTTGAATGATCACCATTCGAACTGGCATGAGATGGTATCTCATTGTGGTTTTGATTTGCATTTCTCTGATGACCAGTGATGATGAGCATTTTTTCATGTCTGTTGGCTGCATAAATGTCTTCTTTTGAGAAGTGTCTGTTCATATCCTTTGCCCACTTTTTGATGGGGTTGTTTGTTTTTTTCTTGTAAATTTGTTTAAGTTATTTGTAGATTCTGGGTATTAGTCCTTTGTCATATGCATAGATTGCAAAACTTTTCTCCCATTCTGTAGGTTGCCTGTTCACTCTGATGATAGTTTCTTTTGCTGTGCAGAAGCTCTTTAGTTTAATTAGATCCCACTTGTCAATTTTGGCTTTTGTTGCCATCGCTTTTGGTGTCTTAGACATGAAGTTTTTTCCCATGCCTACATCCTGAATAGTATTGCCCAGGTTTTCTTCTAGTGTTTCTATGGTCCTAGGTCTTATGCTTAAGTCTTTGATCCATCAATAATAGACTGGATAAAGAAAATGTGGCACATATACACCATGGCATATGATGCAGCCATAAAAAAAGATGAGTTCATGTCATTTTCAGGGACATGGATGAAGCTGGAAACCATCATCCTCAGCAAACTATTACAAGAACAGAAAACCAAACACCACATCTTTTCACTCATAAGTGGGAGTTGAACAATGAGAACACATGGACATAGGGAGGGGAACATCACACACTGGGGCCTGTCAGGGGGTTGGGGGCTAGGGGAGGGATAGTATTAGGAGAAATAACTAATGTAGTTGACGGGTTAATGGGTGCAGCAAACCACCATGGCACGTATATACCTATGTAACAAAACTGCACGTTCTGCACATGTACCCCAGATCTTAAGTTATAATAATAATAATAATAATAAAACACACAGTGAATCTGCCACCTACTTAAAAAAAGAAAAAGAAATATATAGCTGCTTCACCTCACCCTAGAGTTGTACTTCTGTCCTCCCTCTGGTCCCTTCCAGACTGGCAGACATTACTAACCTTTCAGGACCTCATTCAAATGTCACCTCCCCAGAAAAGCATCATTGCCCTCCTTCAAGGCTGTTTTAGTTGCACTTCTTATGTGTCTCCTCTTCCTTGCACTTTGAGCTGTACCACAGTATGTCAATAGTGCATGATGAAATTGCATTATTTTGTAATTCCTCTAGACTTTGTAATTCTCAATAGAATGGACTCCATAATAATGATAGGTAGCAAAACAGCTATCATTTATTGATTGTCTATTATCAGTCACGCCCTGAGCTAAATGATTTGCCAGAATGTTCTTATTGAACATACTCAGCAACATTCAGAAGAAGCCCCACTTTCCAAGTGAGCACATAAATGCTCAGAGGTCAGCTGTACAGTACGAATGTTACTACATACTCTTTGATTAACCTAAGTGATGGAGCTCAGCTTCAAATCCAGGTGTTCTAACTCCAGAAGAGTATGTGTCTTTTACTACTGTCTCCTACCACTATTTCCCAAATCCTTCTACAATAGTACCTCATACATAGCAGGCACTCAATGGACATATTTTAAAGGAATCAAATAAGGGAGCAGAGGGGAGGAAAAAGATGAAGGGGCAGAGAGGGAGATGCTGGGATGTAGGGAGGTAAGGTAAGGGGAAGAATGCCAATCAGGACACCAAAACCACTACATTTACAAACCTTATTGCAGTTTTGAGGTGCTGAGAAGGTTTTCTGGGTACATTTCCTTAATCAAATAAATAGAGTGAAATTTAAAATAAAGGTTGATCTATAAGTGTGTAAAGAGTCAAGGAATATATCATACTTGCACTCCTTGAAAAAACATACCAAGGACCAGCTAAGATATTTGCCATCTATAATCAATCAGTTTGATGAATGTCATTTATATAATTCTGGTAAGAAGATATTTTGATAGTTATTCTGCAGTTTCATCTGCTGAGAATATTTGAGGTTCTCTAAATGGTTTTAGTCCTATAAAAATGAGCAAGGTGGATGAGTAAGAGGGGAATAGAGTAGGTTGATCACTTATGTAAGATTATGAGGATCCAAATATAAATTTCTAGTGGTTTCCCATTATGGAAATAACAATTTCATTGAAATGTGAGTCAATGACTTAACCTAGAATATTATATATAACTTACTTGACTGGTGTGAGTCTTTATACTTGCAGGATCTGACTATTTGCTGAGTCAGGGGAGAAAACAGATTTTTTTTTGGTACTATTTTTAAGATTAGATAATCAGTGACAAACTCAAAGTATATAGTGGCTTTTTTTTGCTCAGTGGAATATTTGATATTAGTATTTGATTTTTAAATACAGTACATGCCTCTCTTTCGGAACAATGTAACAACAGGATCACTTGGGAATGGATTAAAAAAAAATAGCTCTCATCCCAGCTATCTCCCAAATCTTCAGCATATCAAGGATTTCACTTTCCTTAATATGGGCTTTCAAATATGGATGGCACGACATATAGACAAAAGAGTAAGTAGAGAAACTCCTAGAAGGAAATTGGAAAAGATAAATGCTGGAATTTTTCTTACTGTTATTACCCATGTGGGAGCCATAATCCTTCTGGGAGGTGACAAAAACTCACATTTGAATGTTTTTCATTTGTAGCCCACTGATTATTTACAGACTTTTTGGGGGGGAGAAGGTTTTAAAATAAAAATGTGGTCTAAAAAAGTATTCATGGAATCAGTTCTACCATTCTGCTTCATAGGGAAACACCTAAATTGTACTATTTCATATATCAGCAAATGAAACAATTATGTATCTTATTTGGGGTTGAAGAGTTAGTTTAATGCAGACAAGCACAAGTATTTCTCAAAATGTGCATAGTTATCATTGTTGATCCTAGGAATAATGCCACATTATTAAAATTTTAGCCTTTAAAAATTACCTATACATCGCCCCCCCCCCCACTTTTTTTTTTTTTAACAAAAAAAGAGGAGGCCTGAGAGCCAGAACCTGTGGCAAGAATTAGTACCTAGGTAGAATCAAATAATATTATTCTGCTTTGACAGTATTTACTTCCACTTATTTTAGTGATTCTAGTTTTTCTCTTAGAGTAGTAGCATGTGTTTTCTTATAAACAAATGTATTCAAAGTAAAAAAAGCAATTCAATTTAAAGACAATATTGGACAATTGTAGAAGTTTTTTTGGTAAAATGAAAGTCACAAGTTTGATAGAAGAATGTCTGAAATCTGGTGCAAATTGTGGATGGTGTTAAGAAAGTGATTGAAACATTAATTGAAGTAAGGATAATAGAGAATAAATTCCTTCTATATCAGCAAACTTGATATGGCTTGGATCTGTGTCTCCGCCCAAATCTCATGTCAAATTGTAATCCCCAACGTTGGAAGTGTGGCCTGGTGGGAGGTGATTGGATCATGGAGGTGGTTTCTCACGAATGGTTTAGCACCATCCCTATAGTACTGTTCTCCTGATAAAGTTCTCATGAGATCTGGTTGTTTAAAAGTGTATAGCACCGGCCGGGCACGGTGGCTCACGCCTGTAATCCCAGCACCTTGGAAGGCCGAGGCGAGCGGATCACGAGGTCAGGAGATCGAGACCATCCTGGCTAACACGGTGAAACCCGTCTCTACTAAAAATACAAAAAAAAATTAGCTGGGCGTGGTGGCGGGCTCCTGTAGTCCCAGCTACTGGGGAGGCTGAGGCAGGAGAATGGCGTGAACTCGGGAGGCGGAGCTTGCAGTGAGCCGAGATGGCACCACTGCACTCCAGCCTGGGCGACAGAGCACGACTCCGTCTCAAAAAAAAAAAAAAAAAAAAAAAAAAAAAAAGTGTGTAGCGCCTCCCGGCTCTCTCTCTTCCTCCTGCTTCGTCCACGTAAGACGTGCCTGCTGCTTCTCCTACACCTTCCGCCATGATTGTAGTTTACTGAGTCCTCCCTGAAGCTGAAGCTGCCAAGTTTCCTATACAGCCTGCAGAACTATCAATCAATTAAACCTCTTTTCTTTATAAATTACCCAGTCTCAGGTATTTCTTTATAGCAATGTGAGAATGAACTAATACAAAACTAAAGTGAAGAGTTGTGACTTATTCTTCAAACGATACCTTGAACACTCAATATTCTATGTATTTTTGTGCAGGTGTGTGTGTGTGTGTGTGTGTGTGTGTGTGTGCATTGGCTCCTAGTACTGGGCGGTTGCCTCATTTCTCCAGTTTCTTTGTGACCGACGGTGTCCTCTGCCTTATAGTAACTAAGCAGTAGAAAGTGTAAGCTAGTATATTTTACTGGGGAGATGAGCATAAACACCTTCAGAGCACATACGCAAAACCCATGAGCAGAGTCAGAGTGAGTGTCGATAAAGTGCATGAAGGAACGATTTGCAATGGAAGGAAGAACCCCCTCTTTTCCTATCTTAGAAAGGACTTTGGTACAGAGTGTAAGCTTTCATTGCTTGCTAGTTCCATTTAAAAGGCCCATATGTTTTTGGAATCTGAAACTCAAGAGTAAGGTCAAACGACATGCCATAATTAGGATGCTCATCTTTAGGAATGGAGAAGGATTTGTGTAAGTTTCGAAAAGCATTATGAATGATGAAACAACCACAAGCCTGTTAAGTTGGTTGTTACTGTAACCTTTGGACCAAGCAATTCATAACAGCCCTAGTTCAGAACCATAGCAAAATTCAGAATTATTCAAGCTCTCTACATAACAGGAACTCAGCTTGCTCCAATGATAAACAGACACATATGAAGGAAAATTCCACTGACCCTGTATTCACCTCCGCCTCAGAGGCCTAATTGCTTAAGAAGTAGTGTCAAAACAAAACATATACCTTCAGTCTCTGCAGTTTGGAAGAGCAAGGAGGTGAATGTTTTGCTTTTAAGTAAACCAGAGTATGGTTAAGGTTAAACTGTTGCAGAATGATGAGCCAAATATTGTAATGATTTACAAAGATGAATTAATATTCTTCTATATGCAGAAAACTTAAACATAAGTTGGGGGGGCAACAAATATCATTGTCTTTGTTTATCCTTAACAGTGGTTAAAAGAATCACTTCAATGGTAGTGAGATTGTGATATTGATATAAACAGAGAGAATGATTAGATAGATAAATATAGATAGTGATATAGATAGTGATATATATTGACTAGATAGAAGATAGATAGATAGACAGATGGTGGAAATGTAGAAAAGCAAACTCTTATACTTTTTTAAGGAGATTTAACAAGATATATCAAAACTTAAATTACAGATGTTTTATAACCCAATTTTCTCACTTGCAGAAATTTACTTTGTAGTACTTAATCAAGTATAGAACAATGATGTTCATTAGAGTATTGTTTATAATAACAAAAAATAAATTGGAACAACTGGATATCTATTAATATCAAGACTGGAAAAACAAGCTATGGTATAGCCATGTTCTTGAATAGTATTTAATTCTAAAAACAAACAAAAAACATTAAATATATACACAAGCACATGGGAAAAGTCCATAATATATTCCATATTGCTAACCAAGTTACAACTATGTTTAATAAATAAGCAAATAAAATATGCATTTACTCATATACATACCTATATGTCTATGTATTTATTACTATATAATGTTTATATTTTATAAATATCATCTGAAATCACGTGAAGTGTTATTTTCCAAACAATTAGCATCATTGAGGGGCCACTCTCCAGTGACTTCCTGGGAACTGCAGTCTACAGGAATGCAATAGAATTATTTGTAGCTCCTGGGAGATACTCCTGTGAACTCCTGAACAGAACTGGATAAGACTTTGACAGAGGTTAGAAATTCTACATTAGCAAAGGAGGGGGGAAAATATCCATGATTGGGGGTTGCTCCAATGTAACTATATACATTGTACAAACCCAAAGAAATGTGAGTTACAATTTCATTTTTAAAATTTTTCATTTGGTTTTTTGATACCAGAGACAGATGAAAGAAGTATATGAACAGCCCTGTACAAAAGTGAAATTTGAAGGGATACATTTACCCACAGGACACTCAAATGTTAAGACTCATGCTGATAACTGGCATTTGCATCAAGCATGATGATTTTCAAAATATGTTCACATAATAGCATCTTGCTCACAGTCAAATGTCTTGACATTAAATAATACATCCACTTCGCTAGTGTTATACCATGTTAATGCATCAATTATGAATGAAAAATTATATACAAAGGAAGAGATAAATATATATTTAATAATTTTGTCTTTGTAGTATATTAAAACAAGTTAACCAAAACAGTCTACTGCATTATGGGTTAAGATCAGAAAGGAATGCTTTCATCATATGTTAAGATTTTAAAGAGAACTAAATGAAGCAGTGTGAGGTTTCTGACAAATATGACTCTGAAAAATGCAAAACATGGTGACACAAAAGCCCTCTGAGAAAAAGCACATTTTTATCTTTCAAATGTCCATAGGTCTGAATCAATACTATCTTTTCAAGAATGAAAACAAGCGTCTGTAAGTAGGAGCTAAAAAGTAAGTACACATGGACGTAAAGATGGAAATAATAGATACTGGGGACTCCAAAAGCGGGGAGGGATGGAGGCGAGTGAGGGTTGAAAAATTAACTATGAGGTACAATGTTCACTATTTGGGTAGTGGGTACACTAATAACCCAGTCCCCACAGTATGCAATATACCCATGTAACAAATATGCACATGTACTCCCTCGATCTAAAAATTAAATTAGGCCAGGCATGATGGCTCATGCCTGTAATCCCAGCACTTTGGGAGGTCGAGACGGGCGGGTCACCTGAGGTCAGGAGTTTGAGACCAGCCTGGCCAACAAGTTGAAACCTCGTCTCTACTAAAAATACAAAAAAATAGCTGGGCGTGGTGGCGAGCACCTGTAGTCCCAGCTACTCAGGAGGCTGTGGCAGGAGAATCACTTGAACCTAGGAGGCGGAGGTTACAGTGAGCCAAGATCACACCACTGCATTCCAGTCTGGGCAACAGAGCTTGACTCTGTCTCAAATAATAATAATAATAATAATAATAATATTTTTTTAATAAAAAGGAATAAAAGCAAGTGTCATTCCAAATATGAGCCAGGAATTTTTCTGGATTGATGGGGTTAACTGTACCTTATAGAGTATGACCTTTATGCTGAGAAAATGGTAAATGAAGATCCAATAGTGTTTTTGAATTAATTTTTCATGTTTGAGTCAGATATCTGAAAACAGAAGACCTGATAAAGGAGGAAGTGGAAGGAAAGAGGAAGAGGAAAATAGGTGGGAGGTTGTTTTCAAGAATATCAAAGAACCATTTCAATGCCTATTGCAAATGTTTATTTCAAATTGAAAGTGACATAGAGAGGAAGTTTTTAAAGAATTCAGGGGAAAGAAGTGATTCAACCCATGAGTTTCCTTTGTCTACCAAATAGAATGTTTTTCTTTTTTTTGCATACAATGTTATTTTAGGAATTCTATTTCCTTTTTTAAAAACAGGAATGAAAGCAATACAATTTAGAAACTACTGACTTCTTAGTCCATAGATATTCTCTTTAGGGGAAAGAATGCTCTGTAACCAATATCCATTAAATATTTGTTACTTAAGGAAAACAGCAGTAATAACAACAAAAAAAGGAAAAACAATTGTCAATTTTAGTAGAATGCTTTCAGCAAAATGATCCTTTTCACCAAAACAGTTGATGATTTAAGTATATTCTATAACTAAACGAAGTATTTGTTCTAACCAATAATCAGAATTGAAGAAAGAAAATAAAATTAATAGAAATTTTACTCAAGCAGTTGACACAATAGTTTTATTTAGATGACCTGGTAATCTTGGTTCACCGTAATAAGAACGTGTTTTACTCTAGACAGAATTAGAGAGTGAACAGTAAAAAAAATCCTCAGAGGCAGGTGTGGTTCAAAGTGGCTGAGTCTTACAGTAATTTTCTGGAGGGTGTATATTTTGCAGAATAGTAGTAAAACAGTGTATTAAATATTATTCCTAATAGCCCTTTGGTGCTTAGAAATAGTTTCTCTAAATAGAAAATTTCTGATAATTTCCCTGTAAAAGAACTTGATCTAGCTCTCTATGATTCTATAATGTATTGCTAATGTGACTTTATTTTCAAATATGAAAACAGAGTGAGGGATATCCTTACAGCCACTTGCATTGAAAAACAAACAATATATGATCTCACTGATATGAAATCTAAAAAAGTCAATCTCATAGAAACAGATAGTTGAAAGGTGGTTACCAGAGGCTTGTTGGGAGAGGGAAGGATGGAAAAAAGAGATGTTGATCAAAGAGCACAAAGTCTCAGTTAGGCTGAAGATATAAATTTTAGTGGTCTATTGCACCTCAGGGTATCACAGTTAATAATAATGTATTATATATTCCAAAATTGCTAACAGAATAGATTTTTAACATTCTCATCACAAAAAAATGGTAAGTTGCTAAAATAATGTATATGTTAATTAGCTTGATGGAATCTTTCTATAATGTATACATAGATTATGACATTACATTGTACCCCACAAATATATACAATTATAATTTGTCCATTAAAAATAAATTACTTTTTAAAAATTGATTTTTAATTTTTGATCATTGATATTTTATTGATTCACTGATGGTCTGCTACATAATCCAAAATGCAATTGCCATGCCTTCTAAGAATTTGTATTGAGGGAATCATTTTTGTTTCAATCTCATTCAACATCTTTCATTTAAATACAGAGTAATAACAGAATCTTTTTCTTTCTTTTTTGTTTGTTTGTTTCAGATAAAATAGGGAATTATTGAAGTTGGCAAATATGATGACTGGCTTGTAAAGTGAATACACAGTTTGTCTAGAGTGCCTGGGACCTGAAACTCTCTAGTATACCTTTTCAATACCACTAATTAATGAAGAAAATGTTTCACAGATTTGTCTACATCTAAGAAAAATGCTCACAAGGCTTATAAATATCACCATACATTTCTATCATTACTTTATCAACTAATTCTCTTAAGCAAGCTCTCAAAGAGTAGCTATTGGCTTTTATAAAAGGGCTAGGTGTAAGGAAGGTGGAGATAAAAGACATAGTCTATGGTCTCAAGGAACACACAGACCAGACTGATCTGTAGCATATAATACAACATAGTGAGATGCAATATAGTGCAACAGGTAGTCTGACAGAGACATGACTGAGATATAATCAGTGCCCAGGACAGGAGCCCTTAACCCTGATGTTAGAAGTAGAAAATTCTACTTTTATTTTATTTTTCTGAGACAGTCTTTCTCTGTCACTCAGGCTGGAGTGCAGTGGCACAACTTGGCTCACTGCAACCTCCTCCTCCCAGGTTCAAGCGATTCCCCTGCCTCAACCTCCCAAGTATCTGGGATTACAGGCACCCACCACCATGCTGAGCTATTTTTTGTATTTTTAGTAGAGATGCGGTTTCCCCATGTTGGCCAGGCTGGTCTTGAACTCTTGACTTCACGTGATCCATCAGCCTTGGCCTCCCGAGTGCTGGGATTACAGGCATGAGCCACCACGCCAGGCCAGAAGTAGAAAATCATCTAGAGAAGGTTGTATTGCTTGTTTTTCTTTCAGTGAAATCTGAGCTCAATCCTGAAGATGAAATTGAAGAAAGCCAAGTAGACAAAGTGGAGATGATGTTCTTTAAGGCCTAGAAGTATGAAACTATAGGATATATCCAGGGAATTAGAAATAATTTTATTTTTAGAGAGAACATATGTAGAAACTACAACAGGTGAAACTATATTGATAGCAAAAGCCAGATTATGAAGGGCCATGTATGCTGAGCTAAGGACACTATTCTATCCTTAAAATCATGGAGAGCTATCAAAGGATTCTAGGGGGAAAACATTCACAGACGTGTACTTTGGGTAATGCACTATGACAGGCGTGGGCAGTATAGTACAAAAGCGTGTGATGAACAGCAAGAAAAGTAGTTAGGGGGCTTGTTGCAATAAACTAGATTTAACATAGACTAGCAACATTGGGAAAAGAGCAGGGGATAGATCAAGGTATTTATGGAGGCTAGGCAATAAGACTCAATAATGAACTAGAGATTGAGGGAAAACTGAGCAAAAAGAAATATTGTAACCAGATTTCTCTACTGGGAGACTGGAAGTGAGTGCTATTGCTTTGCATTCTTGAAATCATACTATTTTTGCCTTTAAAGCTACTCCTTCATCGATTTGTTCCTTTAATATCACATTCCTCTTGCCCTCATTAATGAACAACCGGAAGGATGACGTGCCATGAACTACTGTACTCCATTCCAGCTAAATATATACTATAACCAAGACTTCCCTTGTTCTTCCATTAAGGACCTTTAATTTACCTGTCATTCTTAAGTACAATAAAGAGTTTTTACTGTGAGAAAGCTCCATCAGTGACCAATTAGGTTTTATGGACCCATCACACTAATAAGATTTATTAAAGCATAATAATTGGTATAATAGAACATTAAAATATGAAAATATGTTGTGTCTTTTTGGGGAAATTCCAAAAAAACAAATATAGAGTTAACTGACTAAACTTTTTCTTCTTTATTCAGAAAACCTAAAATCTAGGACATGTTTCATATGAATTGGACATGTATCTCTGACATACTTTATAAATATTCACTATTTTACACACATATTAGTTCTCTAAGGCTATGTATCAAGAAAAATTATTCTGCTTGGTGCAAATACAAATAGGCAATATTTTCTCAATAGAACGTCACCTAATTTTTGTATTAAATTATTGTCTCCAACAGTTTCCTACTGTGTATGTTATACTGTGAAATTATATTTTTTATGTAGAATATTAGCTTAGTTTGTTAGGATATGCTTATTGTAATAGAGCTTGCTAATTTCCCACATTATCTATTCCCTGCTATTTCCTTTTGTACATAAACTCCCTGCATGGTCATCCAGCTATATTCCCTGTTACCTAGCATTGCTTTCAGCTATCTGAATCTTACGACTAAGTCATTTCAAATGGGATATAAATGGAAATAAAGATAACTTTCAGGTCTTGTCCTTAAGAATTATTAGACTCGGTCACCTCTTTTCCTCTTCCTTTTCCCATCGGTCAACAAAAGACAATAATACATCTCTGAAATACATGTAAAAGGAAAATGTTTTACAAAAGAACTGGTCAGAGTGAAGGGGCAGAGGAACAAGGGAACAGACAGATAAACCATAGCAAAATTAGTCCTGGACTAAAAAAATAATGATGATCCACATGAATGGTTCTTGTTCCCTTTCCCCTTCCCCTTCCCTCAAATTCTTACTAACTTTCAAGTTTAACAAGTAGGAATGAGTATATGGAAGATAGACTATGAAAACAATATTCTAACTGGAGCTTATGACTCCTTACTACACTGATAATGACTTATAGAGTTACCATAAGGTAACCACCCAACCTCATATGATTGATGAACCACTACGTATGTATTTATAAAAAAAACACTGAATCAATATGCCTTTCTCACATTGTAAGGAAACCTGCATACAGGGACACAGCTGGTAAGTGGCTTGGTCATTTGGAATTTCCATTCTGGAAAAAAGAAATTCTCACTCATTTGCACTTCTTGCCTCAAACCAACTAGATTTGGATTTTACACCTTAGACTATGACATCTTACTTCTAAAAACTAAAATGTAAATGTTTGGGTGGCATTACTCATCAGCTCATTTAAAAATGCATTTGAACTCATATTTATAGCATCATGCACATATAAATATCATGAAGCAAGAATAAACACTGTGCCTTAAAGTGTTTTATTCCAAGAGTCTGTGGAAACCTTTAGAAGTGGGCAATAGAAATATCACACTGCCTGATTTAATTTATGATCTACCCCTTAAGGAGTGGGCAGACCAGAAAAATTTGTGCATTTCTTGAGAAGTCAACTTCATCTGGGAACAGGACAAGGTGTGAAACTGAGAGTAAAGTCTCAAAGTAATGTGGTTAACAGTGGAATGTGAATTAGTGTAATTTAGGTTATTTTTCCCTCCGTTCACACAGCTTGCAGAGCTACCAAAAAACTCGTAATAGAATTCCCTCCAAAAATAAAGTTGATCTTCAATTCTTGGCATTTCAGAGTTGATTCCCATGATTCCAAGATGTTATATGGGTTGCAAATGCCAACAGTAGTTTTACAATAAGAGCCTAGGGACCCAGCAGAGGTTGAACTAAACTCCTAACAATTTAAACCTTGATATGTTCAGCATTTCTGCCAAACTTGAATAGAAGTATATGCCTTGAGAGATTAATGTTGACTTTAACTGTAACGACAACAAAAAACTGTAGTTGAATACAATTAAGTAACACATGGACAGTGTACTATTTACAAAGTAAAATGAGTTAAGACATCTAGATCATTTATCACAAGTTTTACTTAGATTTTTTTAATCTCATAAAGAATATGACTATTTTCTTAAAGAAAGAAGCAATGGATTTTTTTTAAATAAACTTACTTAAAGACATACCTATCAATTTGCAAATAAATATGCTAAAAGGCCCAAAGAAAATATTCTTGCACGACTTAATCAGATCTGTTTGAAATTAATGCCTTTAATTTCCCTACCAGTATTTTCATCATTCCATACTGAAATGGCTTTTTCAAAATTAATTTTCTGTTGGGTAAATTTCTTAAAATTCAGAATTTTACTGAAGTTAGAATTTTAGAATTTCATTTTTCACATTTTTTTGCAGTATAAGTGAGGTGGTAGAATAAGGATAGAAATGTAAAGGACTACTATATTTAGTAAACAACTTCTAAAAATATTACTTGTTTTTGAGAACAAATATCTTTATGAAACGTTCACCACATGAAATTGTAGGGGAGGAGTTATAGTTAGATAGAGCCATTATAAAAAGAAGTTAGGTTAGTAGTAGGTGTTTTTATTGGCCTAAAATGACTGCCTCTTACTGAGAAATGACTTAATTTCACTTGATTTGAATAAAGTATCAGGGATGAGAAACAAGTAAATCTATTTTGCTAAGAAGACTGCAGAATAAATTAATTTACCCAAAGACTGCATGATGAAAACTATTAATATTTCATCCATACTAGCACTTTTTTCCCAAGAATCTAAGAATGTTTACAGTAACTATCTTTACTTAGAAACCTTTTTATCTAGATGGCAGGAACTTAGCCCAAATTAACTATAACATTATTTATATCTCTTGTTTCAAATTATTAATATTTTAATACTGAATTATCCTTTGTTGGTAGACAACAAAAGACAGAAAAGAAAAATATGTGTTTTTATTGTATAATCTGAAATAGGCAAATTTAGTCTTATTTGGATTTTTTGGAAGCCTACTGACTTATAGATATCAATTTCAAGAATAAAATATTCTTAGAATATGGAATGTATCATGCAAATCATTCAGTCCCATAAACCAGGGATTAAAAATATTAGGAACATCCCACATTTTTCTCTTAATGAGTAAATATTTTGACATGGCTCTAAAACCTTCCCTGCTTGGTAAATGAGTTTTATAATATAATATGGATATGTGATACTACAAGCTTCCTGGTCCTACCTCTATTTATAGCAGTGGTTCTAAAACTTTGCTGTACATTAAGAGTCACCTGCAGGTATTTCAATAATACAATTACCTTGAGACTGGAGACGTATTTACTGCCACATATTTTAACAGTCTCTTACTGGTTAAAATACATATTTCAGTTCCCATATCAACACCTGACAATGGTCTATTCTACCCATATATTATGTTAAATTGGCCCACCTAAAATCAAACTCTTCTTCCCTATGAAAAAGCTTCTACTCCTGTTCTTATTCTACTGCTATTACCACCTATTTTCTACTTTTTCTGAGCAAGAATTACCCAAGTCATCTTTGACTCCAGAGTCATTTTCATTCACCTTATTACACAGTAATTTACAAAAGCCCATAAATTTTAATTTGCATGCTCTATAGAATGTTTCCTCCTTTCCATTCCAATTTTTATTGCTTTAGGTTAGGATCCTAAAGCCATCAATACTAAAGTTACCAATACTTTTCTAACTTCTGTCTTTGCCTCCAATATCTTTCATTTTAAAGACATTGATACCAAATTAATTTTCCTTAACTATAATTTTCATCATACCATTTTGTGCATTTGATAACTTGGAGACATTCTAGCCTTGAATTTGAGTTTTCCTAACTTTGTGACATTGGATATGTAGCATCAGTCTTTGGCCTCAGTTTCAAGTACAAAAATGCAAGTGTTGGACTAGACAATTGCAAAGTCCACTCTAACATACTGGTTTCAGATAAAAAGATCCTAAAAGCTTCCTGGTCTTGCCACTATTTATAGCAGTAGCTCTGCAACTTAGCTGTACATTAAGAGTCACCTGGCCGGGCACGGTGGCTCATGGCCTGTAAACCCAGCACTTTGGGAGGCCAAGGCGGGCGGATCACGAGGTCAGGAGATCAAGACCATCTTAGCTAACACGGTGAAACCGCGTCTCTACTAAAAATACAAAAAATTAACCGGGCATGGTGGCGGGCGCGCCTGTAGTCCCAGCTACTCGGGATGCTGAGGCAGGAGAATGGCGTGAATCGGCAAGGCAGAGCTTGCAGTGAGCCAAGATCGCGCCTCTGCACGCCAGCCTGGGCGACAGAGCGAGATTCCACCTCTAAAAAAAAAAAAAAAAAAAAAAAAAAAAAAAAAGAAACAAAGAGTCATCTGCTATACGTAATTTTCCATTTATCCTATCCCATAAATGTTTACTCCTTCTCTGTGCTGTTCTATGCCCCTGGAGGATAACTTCTACACAGTATGCCATTGTGCTCCCTTGCTCACTGGCTTCTCCTCAGATTTGTCCCATGGAAGGCATGTACAAAAGACAGGCGGGTGGGAGAAGGGAAGTCGGGGTATTTTCTCCCGAATTTTTTTCCTGTTTGGGAATCACATCTCTGGCAGCAGTTTTGTCCCACTCTGACTCTAGGTCAGGAAGCCTAATGGATTTCAGATGTTACTAATCTTCTGTCTACTTTCTCTTTAATATTAGGTTTGTTGCATTAACCTTGCTCACACTTTTGCATTTAATCCCTTAATGAAAGTCGCTTCATTTCAGTCACTTGTTGGGACTCTGACTAATACATCTAAAGAGATATTTTTGAAATACCAATGCTCAGACCTCACTCCAGGTTAGTAGAATTGAAACTTTGGATGTGGAGCCCAAGTAGAAGTATTTCATAAAAATTCCTCCTGGTAAATTATAGATAAAGTCCAAACACTTTGTATTATCATTCAAGGCCATATGTAATCTGAAACCAAATAATCTTATCAGTCAAGCAAATATGATTAAAAAAAGAAACCTCTCAGAACAAAATTTGGCTACTTAATAATTTTGCTAATAAAGTAATGTAAAGAAACGTGAGAAACTTAAACAAGTATAAATAAATAACAAAGTATTTTAATGACAAAGTATAAATAAATGACAAAGCACTACTTATATGGTACAAAACAAAGGCCTCCCAATGGGAGTAACAACTTAAATGAGAAGGATTATTAAGACAAAATCTTCTGGAAAGAGGTGCTTTAGTGTTAATGAAATATACTAAAAAGGAGAGGGCTTTACTGTTCACAATAGCAAAGATCTCTCCTTTTTAATATATTTCATTAACACTAAACCACCCCTTTCCAGAAGATTTTGTCTTAATAATCCTTCTCATTTTAGGTTATTGCTCCCTTTGGGGTGGCACATATACACCATGGAATACTATACAGCCATAAAAAGGATGAGTTCATGTCCTTCACAGGGACATGGATGAAGCAGGAAACCATCATTCTCAGCAAACTGACACAAGAACAGAAAACCAAACACTGCATGTTCTCACTCATAAGTGGAAGTTGAACACTGAGAACACATGGACACAGGGATGGGAACTTCACACACTGGGTCTTGTTGGGGAGTGGGGAGCTGGAAGAGGGATAGCATTAGGAGAAATACCTAATGTAGATGACAGGTTGATGGGTGCAGCAAACCACCATGGCACGCATATACCTATGTAACAAACCCACACGTTCTGCACATGTATCTGAGAACTTAAAGTTTAATAATAATTTTTTTAAAGACTATCCAAAAAAGAGAGATCTTTCAAAGAATCATATACTTCTTAGGTATCTCTTATACTCTGAAATGCAAAGGATCTAAAAACATCATGTATACAATTTTCCTGTGAGGTATCTTTCTCTTATTATTTGATCAGTTATCAAGAAGTCTCACATTTGACTGTTTCATATTCTTTCACTTGCATTGATCACCATTCGTGATCACCTCCAGAGCTGAAAGGATCCTCCCCTCTCAGCTTCCCAAGTAGCTATAGCTGGGACTACAATCATGCACCACCATGCCCAGCTTTTTTTTTTTTTTTTTTTTTTTTTTTTTTGTACAGATGAGGTATCATTATGTTGCCCAGGCTGGTCGTGAACTCCTGGATTCAAGCAATCCCACCAGGTGTGAGCCACTGTGCACGGCCCATATTGACTTCTTACCATCAGTATCCAAAGGTGAGTCAGCCAGTGACTTCGAAATAAGTAAAACATACTTTGATGACTTTGGTTCATCTAGTTTTAGCCAGATTGTGGGGGCGGGGGCGGGAACTGTTCTCTGGCCAATTAGTTCCAAGGTCCAGATTATTTAGTGTTTATGTAAGGTTATGTCCTATGGAAACATACTTCTTCATGCCACACTTACTGTTTAATACACATGAAGATTACAAAACCATGTAAATGAGCAGTGAAAGAAGAAAAGCCCTTCTCAGTCAGTCAGAAGATATGTTTATACTACAATCAAGAAACAAGAGCAGCCTTAGAATGAGACAAAATCTCGGCAGGTATTGTGGGCTTGGAAGGGATTGTGTGACTATGTCATTAGAAAACCATATAATATTTTTTCACTCTCTGAATCCTTTAACAGAAAAATGACTTTTGGCAGAAGGAAGAAGAGTATGTCTTCTAAACACTAAAAATTTCTCTCAGAGGCCTTTCCAAGATGTTTTGGATGGCTCTCTGCCTCTCACTCTCTGGCAGCCCGCTCTCCCATCAGTGTTTGCTGAAGGTCAATAAACCCTGCGCAGGCGGGTGCTGTGGAGTGCATGTGTGAGAAAACCTGCTGTTGTTGCGGTAAATGCAGTGTCCACAAATTCATTAGGAATGCATTTGTTCCTGGAAGTGCTAGCTATTCCGGTAACTGGCTGTCGCCAATGTTTTTAACCATATTCTCCACTTTTATGCAGACATTACAGGGCAGAAAACCAGGCTTCTGTTCTCACTGCCTGCATCAATTTGTAATTTGTTACTTGATCGGCTCGTTTTACCTTTCGTCTAGTATAAAAGGGCAGTCTGGGACACTATAGTTATGTCTGGGGCCTCCTTATTAGACTTGATGTTGAAAAGGGGCTCTCTGGGTTAAGAGAATCTCTGAATCTACTTATTCAGCTCTAAAGAAAATATTGGGCATCAGGAAAAACTGAAAAATTATAGGCAGTGTGAAAATTAGAGGAAAATAACTTCTACCTCCCAGATTTTCTCATGCACAACAATAGAAAATATATATATATATTATGATTCCATTGAAATGTTAAGATTTATTTTATTAAGCGTTCTTTCTTCTCTTTGAGACAATATCCCCATTTTTTCTGAGCAACACTTTCGTAAGCTAGCCCTTCTGAATGTCAATAATACTAATATACTTGGAGTTTATAAGAAAAAATTGTAAAAGGCAAAAAAGAAGCTGTGTGCTGAAATGGCCAGGGTTTTATAAGCTTACACACCAAACAAAACATTGCCACTTTTAACGTGACCCGACTGCCAATCTGAGAGAAGAAAACACTAAACAAAAATGGAATCACTGCCTTCTTCTCTGAAGACAATTCTGGTCTGGTTTTCTTGAAGTAATGTCACCTTAAGGGGGTGACAACATTGAACTTCCTGTGATAACGGTAGCTGACACACAAGGCTTCATCTTACTTGTAGCTGGCATGTTAGAACTGGTGAGAAGTGCGAGGCCCTTCCCTCACAAATGGAACACATCTGTCCAGGAAATACACTTCACTGTGCCAAAATGCTTTTAGTGTATCTGCCCCCTGAGTGCCCTATCAAGCTACAATTCCCTGTCAGCAAGTACCTTGTAATTCCTTTCCTTTTATGTTGATGAAAGTCTTGATCTATTATGCCAATACTGCATAGTTTCCACAGTCTCCCAGAAACTATTACTCAGTAATGTGCATAGGGGATGGGGCTCTGTTACTTAGACAACCCACCTCAGCTAAGAACATCAGCCCTTGAAGAAAAACAGTAGCTAGTCAGACTGCCATACAGCTCACGTTGCACTTTGTGGGTGGAAAGAGGAAGAAAAGACCAATGGTGAGATTAGACACTAGAGAAGATAATGCACTACCTTCAGTAGGAGCCAAAAGGGGTGAGTCAAGTAAGGATTTGACTTGCTATGTTCTTCAGCCTAATGGGTTCTGACCATATCCAGTGAGCTAGGGTTAGGATGAGTCATAACTGGAAGTCCCCCTGGTTCTAATTATAGTGGCAGTAACAACAGAGCCTCAGAATGAAGCCTGAGCAGCCTCTACCCCCATTCTTGAGAAAAGGATAGGAGCCCAGGTGGTCACTATGTGTTCAGTTACACAGGCATTCTGAAGTGCATTATATTCAGTCTCTCTGAAGAGCAAACTGAATTCTAGAGTTCAAGAGCGTTTGGTTTAGCACAATAAGAGAAGATTTATAAGAAGAGTCTAAGGTTAGAGCAATTCTAAGTTCACTAAGACCATAGAATCAGACAAAATGAACTAGATTCAGGTGTGTAGTAAGCTGAAAATTATTTAACCCACTACAGTTGATTTCTTTTGCTTGTTTCTAGATGAATCAAAACGTCATTAGCTGCTCATTCAGAATGTATTGAGTGTTCACCATATGCCAGTTATTTTGTTTATTGTGTTGATTGCTGAGGTTACAGAGCAAGTAATAACTAGCACACCTGATGCTGTTAAATCTATGCCAGGCAATATTCTAAGTTCTTTAAAATATTGAATGGTTCATTCCTCAAAACCTAAAGAGGAAGGTATTACTTACTCTTATACCAGTTTTACAGGTGAGGAAACTGATTCAGAGAGGTTAAATAACTTGCTCCAAATTACAGAGCTCTTAGGTGGCAGAGCAGTGATTCAAACCAGGCAGCCCAGCTCCTAGACCATGCTCTTAACCATCGTGTTCTCACATTCCATGATCATTAAACACCAACAGAAACACTACTGGATGAATGGTTGCCAAGGTCACAGGCCATTGATGACAAAACGAAGAGACAATCCATCCACTTATGAATCCCTGACCACTTGTGATCAGGCCTCTGAGACAATGCCAAGTGAGAGTGAGAAATGCCCACAAGCCTTTCTACAGCCCAAGCTATGCTGAACAAAATCCATCCCCTTCAATGTGGCTTTTTTCAGGTTAATCTTTTGTTCTTAAACCATTCAACAAAAACAAACAAAGACTAACATTACAAATCCCCCAAATTGATATTTCAGATTTTATATATTAGATTCAAAATCCATCCTAATAAAAGATATCTTTAAAGGCAGCACTAATATTTCAGCATTTTCTTCTTTTTTGATAAGAAATCTGCTTTCATGTAAAAGTACTCAAAAGTTGCAAAACTTTCAAGTCACGGTCCTCAGTGGATTTTTCTCAATGAATAATACAGGCTTTGCAATAGATCTTTTAGCCTCCATACCCCAGACATCTTTAGAGGAGGATAATAAATCCCATGGCATAGGTATAATTCAGATTTTCAGCTCCATATTCATATGATTGTTTAATATTTATAGACAAGCACTATTTGTTGGAGGCCCAAGTCAGCCAAACATTTAAAGTAATTTCCCCCAGCAGAAACTCCAGTTTATAAAAATAACTTGGCAAATAATTTGTAAATGATGTTCTTAAGTAATCAGCATGCCATCTAAGGAAATTTTGAAGTTGGTATGCTATTTTAGAGAGGAGCATACAAAAGTTTCCTATACAATTTATTAAGAGACAAAGTCGTAGGTGGAAAAATCCTGAATATTGTCTTTGGGTAGATATAACAGATAGAAAAGCACACCATTTAAAACATGTCACTGCAGGAGTGAGTTAATTATCCACTTTGGCTGTTGAATTGTGTGTTCAAGCTTTATAACTTTTTGGTTAAAAGAACCTGCCGTTTACTGGTTGTGGGCTGTTTTTAATAGAAAAAGTCAAGTGAAGAATTGTCACCATCTCTGCCATAAAGGAAAACATGGTCCATTTTCTTTTTGATATGACTGCAATTCTTTTATCTACTTAATTCAATATGTATATATATACATATTTATCTAGATATGCAGTAATGTAATCTGTAGCTATACAGATCAACTACTATATCCATGGTTCTATTTCAAGCACTGCAAAGGTGAATAAGGCATACTTCCATACCTTAAGAAATTTACTGCCTAGTTAGAAAAATATAGTAAGAAGTACAAGAGTAACTTGTATACTGTCATAAAAGAAGTATGTGATAATTAACAGTTTATAATGTCAAATATATATTTGAAAAGTTCAAAAAAGGAGCAATCACATCTATTCTGAGACACTGAAATACTTCATGGAGAGAATGCATCTGAGAAGGGCTCTGGGTAATAAATGGATAGCAACAGACTTGAAAAGGAGGTTCAAAAAAGAGAATACATACATCGTTATTCAAAAAAAGATACTTGCACATGCATGTTTATAGCAGCACAATTCGCAATTGCAAAATCGTGGAACCAACCCAAATGCTCATCAATCAATGCGTGGATAAAGAAATTGTGATATACATATATATACATATATACGTATATACATATATACGTATATACATATATATGTGTGTATATATGTATCACATGGAATATATATATTCCATAATATATATATATCACATGAAATATATATATTCCATCATATATATATCACATGGAATATATATATTCCATCATATATATATATATCACATGGAATATATATATTCCATCATATATATATATCACATGGAATATATATATTCCATCATATATATATCACATGGAATATATATATATTCCATCATATATATATATCACATGGAATATATATATATTCCATCATATATATATATATATCACATGGAAAATACATATATTCCATCATATATATATATCACATGGAATATACATATATTCCATCATATATATATATCACATGGAATATATATATTACATCATATATATATATCACATGGAATATATATATTCCATCATATATATATATCACATGGAATATATATATTCCATCATATATATATATCACATGGAATATATATATTCCATCATATATATATATCACATGGAATATATATATTCCATCATATATATATATCACATGGAATATATATATTCCATCATATATATATCTCACATGGAATATATATATTCCATCATATATATATCACATGGAATATATATATTCCATCATATATATATATCACATGGAATATATATATTCCATCATATATATATCACATGGAATATATATATTCCATCATATATATATCACATGGAATATATATACATTCCATCATATATGTATATCACATGGAATATATATATTCCATCATATATGTATATCACATGGAATATATATATTCCATCATATATGTATATCACATGGAATATATATATTCCATCATATATGTATATCACATGGAATATATATATTCCATCATATATGTATATCACATGGAATATATATATTCCATCATATATGTATATCACATGGAATATATATATTCCATCATATATGTATATCACATGGAATATATATATTCCATCATATATGTATATCACATGGAATATATATATTCCATCATATATGTATATCACATGGAATATATATATTCCATCATATATGTATATCACATGGAATATATATATTCCATCATATATGTATATCACATGGAATATATATATTCCATCATATATGTATATCACATGGAATATATATATTCCATCATATATGTATATCACATGGAATATATATATATCACATGGAATATATATATATTCCATCATATATATGGAATTCCATCATAGCATTTGCAGCGACCTGGATGAAATTGGAGAATATTATTCTAAGTGAAGTAACTCAGGAATGGAAAACCAAACATTGTATATTCTCATTGATATGTGGGAGCTAAGTTGTGAGGACGCATAGGCATAAAAATGATACAATGGACTTTGGAGACTTGGAGAGAAGAGTGGGAGGGGAGTGAGGGATAAAAGACTAAAAATAGGGTGCTGTGTATACTGCTCAGGTGATGGGTGCATCAAAATCTCACAAATCACCACTAAAGAACTTACTCATGTAAGCAAACACCACCTGTACCCCAATAACCTATGGAAAAATAAAAATAAAAAATAAAGAAAATAAAGAAAAATAGACCAAGGCACATAAAATCAATGAGTGGATAAAGAAATTGTGATACACACACACACACACACACACACACACACACACATATATATATACACAAACACACACATATCACATGGATTATATATATATATATTCCATCATATATATATATAAATCACATGGAATATATATGTATTGCGATATATATATATATCACATGGAATATATATATATTCCACCATATATATGGAATTCCTATATATATATATATATATATATATATATATATATATATATAGGAATTGATGGAATACTACTCAGCCATAAAAAGGAATGAGTTAGAGAAAGAAACAATGCCAAGCCAATAATCAATATGACATCCATAGGAAAAACAGTGAGGAGACCTATTTGACAAGAGCATACAATGCCTTAAAAACTTAAGGTGAGAAAAGTGAGTTGAAAATGAAAATGATGAGCTAACTTGCATTTCACCTTATAAGGTAAAAGACCTTTTGAAGACGGTAATTGTGTAATTGGAGTTGCCATTTATGCAATTATGTCAGGTAGTGACTTGTAAGATGGATAAGCCAGAGGAAACATGAGAGATAGCAAAGCCCAATCCAGATTTTGGTGTGTGTGTGTGGTAAATCACAGTAAAGTGAGGAACCCACAGGTGCTAGAAGGGCAACAGAAAAAAAAAAAAAAGGAATAGGAGAGGATTTGTGAGTCACTGTTAATGAATTTCTAGGTTCTGTCATCTGATTAGATTTAAAACCTGGGTTAAGAACTGTGATCTCTTCAAGATGAATTTTCAAACTTTGATGAGTAGGAGAAGCATCCCAAGGAGAATTTATCAAAAAAAAAAAAAAAGATAAGCCTAACATTAAGCATCAGGCAGTTTAACATGTATGAGTCTGTTGAGAGATCCTTTCAAGCCCCCACAGCATATTCACAAAAGTAGATTTGCTGCTTGAAATCATGAAAGCAGATGCTTTTCTTTGACCAGGACCATTACTAAAAATACCCTCCAAATTTCTTTTGTTTTAGATGAAAGTGCTGCTTAGGTAAATGCGAGCTTTCAAATTTAAGGTGCTGCTATTGTTACTTAGATGTGTTCTTCTTACTTGAGAGTTATATTTCCTGTGGCTTGGGTGTTTTCTGATAATACTAGTACATTCTGAGGGCCCCTCGCACAAATTGGAGGGAACGTCTTCTAGCCAAGCCTGACAAGGCTCATGGCTTTCCAAATGAAGGTCAGAGAGAGTACAGCATTTTGTCATGCAACTCTCCCCAGAAGGTTCAATGGAGCCGACCACTGTGACCACTGCTGTCACTGCTCAGTGATTGACAGTTACATTGCTCAATTCTGTACTCTCATTCCATTTTGTTGTAGTGAAAAATGCAGGTGATTTTGTGTCCTACAGACTTGGACTCTAAGTCTGTTTTAGCCATTTTGGTTACAAACTCATTTAATATAATAATTTTTAATTTAGAAATCTAGGCTTCATCAATTCTACCAGAGATAGTGATTTAATTGTGCAAACTTGAATTGTTATTCATTGTTTTTATACTGTTAATTGACAAATAAAAGTTGTATGTTTGTGATGTAAAATATGATGTTTTTGAGATATATATATATATCTCAAATCAATCTATTTACCTTACATACTTTTTTTGTGTGTGTGGTGAGAACCATTAAAACCTTCTCTCTTAGCAATTTTTTAATATGCAATATGATATGTAAAATAAATCTCTTAAACTTATTTATCCTTTGTAACTGAAATTTTGTTTCCTTTGGCCAATATCTTCCCAATCTCCTATCCCCTACTCCCCAGCCTCTGGTAACCACTGTTTTACTCCCTATTTCTGTGAAATCTTATCATTTGCAACAACATGGATGAACTGGAGGACATTATGTTAAATGAAGTAAGCCAGGCACAAAAAGACAAATACTACATGATTCCATTTATACATGGAACACAAAACAGTTTAACTGAATTTTTGACAACTACTAAAATGGACATTCAGGCAGTTATATGAAGTCAGAAGTAGAACCACGTACTAATCTTCCTTCCCTGTTATCCACCTTAATTATTAATAACATTTTTCCAACATACCACTTTGGTAGTAGATTTGATGATTCCATTCATTTATTTAAAAATATAAATGGGTGCCTATTATGTTCCAAGCAATGTGGTAGGCTCTGAGGACTCACAAGTAATATACACACAGATTTATCCTCAAGTGGTTTATTGTCTAGGGACAGAGAAAGGAACATATACTTTTTTTGAGAATGTTTTTGTCCAGACTTTGAGAAGATATTTATTAGGCAGTCAATGAACCCTTAAAACAATATAGGTTAACACCTATAAAGCAGAGGATGCTATAAAGCAGAGGATGTGGAGAAATAGGAATGCTTTGACACTGTTGGTGGGAGTGCAAATTAGTTCAATCATTGTGGGAGACAGTGTGGCAATTCCTCAAGGATCTAGAACCAGAAATACCATTTGACCCAGCAATCCCATTACAGAGTATATACCCAAAGGATTATAAATCATTCTACTATAAAGACACATGCACACATAGGTTTATTGCAGCACTATTCACAATAGCAATGACTTGGAACCAACCTAAATGCCCATCAATGATACACTGGATAAAGAAAATGTGGCACACATACACCATGGAATACAATGCAGCCATGAAAAAGGATGAGTTCATGTCCTTTGCAGGGACATGGAGGAAGCTGGAAACCATCATTCTCAACAAACTAACAGAGGAACAGAAAACCAAACACCGCGTGTTCTCACTTATTAAGTGGGAGTTGAACAATGAGAACACATGGACATAGGGAGGGGAACATCACACACCAGGGCCTGTTGGAGGGTGGGTGGCTAGGGGAGGGATAGTATTAGGAGAAATACCTAATGTAGATGACGGGTTGATGGGTGCAGCAAGCCACAGTGGCATGTGTATACATATGTAACAAACCTACACATTCTGCAATGTATCCCAGAACTTAAAGTATTATATATATATTTCCTGATAACAGAATCTCACAAATCAATTTTCTAAATATTATTCATCCAAACATTTTTGACAGCCATTAGCCAAACTTCTAATGCTTCATTTATTTACTCCCAGAAATTCCCACAAATTTAATGCATCAGTTTCTAGACAGTTGTTTCTGGACTTTTTATGTTCTCATTGAAATATAGAGAGGAAAAATGGTACTAGAATGAAGAGTCAAATATTACAAGATATCATGTGTCTGGTCATAATCCCTTTTAATTTTCTAAGAATGCAAACCTGGGACTCCTTTTTTGGAAACAAAAATTCCTATTCAGAACTGAAATTGTTCTGACAAGACTCAAGCTAGCTCAGGCAAAGGAGTTACTTCCTCCATGAGATGAAAAATAAAATGAAGCTAGACCTATGCTCTAACAATATACCTTCTGGTACTTATTCCTCTGGCACTTTTGTCCACACCCAGAGACTGAAGTTATTGCACCCAAAGGGAGTATTTTTATCTTTAATTATTTATCTGTAATTGATTATCTTCTAATTAATGAGTTTAATTTAAAGTAATTATAAAATACTCTTCTTTTTCCTAATTTACAAAGAATTAGAGCTGAGGATATTAAATGGTTTCAGGGTACAGGCAGGAAGTGACTTTATTGTTCCCTAGCCATTGCCTTTTAATATTCTATGACAGATCTGCTTTCTGTGCTATTTGACAATAATTTGGGCATATCTTAGATTTCCAATCACTTTCAGTTGTTAGAACACACGATAAGTCAATGATGATGAGAGAGAGAGATAAAGAGAGCAAGAGAGAGAGGAGGCTGGATATTTAAAAATTCAGTCTCTATTAAACACAGGTGTCAATATCATATCTAATTCATGGCTCTTTTCCTTACTCCCATAAGAACTAGTTTTCCTGCAAAGATAATGAATTTTAAGCTTCAGAACTCTGAACTTGGAGGGCCTCTTACAAACCCTGTACCTAATGATGCATTTGTATGTTTTGTGTTCTGCTTTTGAAAGAGCATTCTCCAAATTTCATAAGGCCCTACAAAAACTGGATTCATCTGTCCCAGAAATTTAGGCCTGATCAGTGGACAGAAGGACATGTGGCAGGTGTGGAGGAACTAATCTACTCTCTGACTCCTCCTCCTCCCGCAATCATTTCTACCCCTCACTCCTTGAGAGTTAAAGCAGAAGTGGACTTAGAAGAAAGAAGCAATTGTTTCTTCACTTAACAACAACTGTTGGTAGTTAACTCTTGACTTTAGATACCCTCTCCAAGACAAACACCTAAATGCTGACTTTCTCTTGAAGTAGAATTTCTTGATATGGGCAGTGGTCTCCCTAGATGACCTCAGATGACTACTCACAAATCACTCCTCCCTTGGTTCCTCGTCCTTGATGTTCACACTATATTTATTTGTAGTTCACACTACAAATGTACTATTTGTACATTTAGAAAAATGTATAAATAGTATAGTTTAATCATTGGAAAAAATCATTTATTGAACATTTTCTCTGCATGAGGTTCTACGTGAGATATTTTTCTCACATTATTTCTCAATAGCAATTTAAAACATTACTTGTGGTTAATACACAAAAAAGTCCACACATGCACAAATCTTTAAACAAGTAGCAAATAGCACACTTAATGTATCAATTGTAGGTGCAAAGAGCAGAACGAGACAAGTATGTATCCATATTGTTTGGGGATTTCACAAAGTATAGCTTTAGAAAATTTGGACAGCACAGTGAATTTCCAATATTCCAGACAACTCATTCTGTGTGATAATGAAGATAAGAGATTCATTTGAAGTTCATCTATTGCCAAATAACTTATCCAGAAATTTTGTTGAGAACCTAGCCAGTAAATTAGACATGGAACCTTGAAGTATTGTTAACTCAGTTCAAATAATTGTATCAGGAGCACTGTCTATGTGACTCAACATTCTGTCTCTAGGTTTATACTCTTTGTGGCATGGCATATAGTAGGTACTCATTAAATATTTGTTGATGAAATGAATGAATAAACAAAGGATATCTTCCCCCAACCTATTATTCATCACACAATGCAAACCTGAGACTATATCAGTAAACAGAGAGAAACCTTATCTTAATCTGCCAAGTATGCTTTTTCTTTCTTGCCAAACTTGCCATACACAAGGGTTACATATACATTTCATCTCATTCTCAGCTTCCTCTGAGGTTTATGACTCCATGCAGCAGCCATGTTTCTCTCCACATGCACTAGTAGAATTCCTGGAAAACATGCCAGAGCAAAGAAAATGCTTTCATTCTGCTATCTGTTAAGGAATGAATTTTTTTCAAACATAAAGGAACCTCCCCATAATTATCTGTTTCTCTATTCTTCTGTCGTATGGTTTATCCCAACGCAGGTAAATCAACAATAATTTCATTAAAAGTCTAAAAATCTTAATAGTTGTTCCTTTCTTTGGAAATTAAATTCTTAGAGAATGTAATGAAGCAAGATAAACAAAAAATTTTCATTAGATTGAAATCTTTGATACTGCAATGTGTCCTGGATATATCTGTAGCCTGTTCTTTATTTTTTAACATATTATAAGAATCATAGTTCTTTTTAAAGGGAAACTTTTGAAAATATATCGCTAGTACCATATATGTAATATTTATGACATAATGCTTTACATTATAAAATGAATGTTATGTTGATATTATCATCAATATATAAACACAATTGGAAAAACAAGAAAACAAGGAAGATTCTCTTCATATTTGCAGCTTGCCATTTGTTGAATATTAAAGTTAAATTGCCAGCCCTTTATAGACTTCTCTTTTCTCTTCATAAGTTGACAAGTTTGCCCAAAACAAGACACATTATTACCACGGTGATTCTATGGCAGTGACTTTCCAGAGTTACTGCTCAGGACTTACTGCCTGAATTGATGATAGGAAGCCCTAAATTCTTCTCCTCCTCTCATGATCTTTGCAGCCTTCACCACCCCACGAAGGTGCAGATTACAATCCCAGATGCTGGCCATTTGTGTATATTCCATTGTATTTTAATTTTATAAGCATCATGGCTAGTAGAAATTTCCTATAGAATTATATTCGTAGCCAGAAATGAAAAATGACCACTTTTTTTGGCCTTTCACTTCATTGGAGCTGCACTTAAACTATTACCTATTTAATTCAAGTGTAAAAACAAAACCCACTAAATATTCAAGGTGAAAGTCTGGAGTATGTTTTAGGATGTCTTTTAACCTCAATTAAATTTCTAAATGTATTAATTCTCCATTTCACTTAGCATTTGTTAGGTGAGAAAGGGGGGCCCCAAAAGAGTTTTATAATGATTAGGGCAAGAAGCATATATTGACAAGGAGAGGCTGTGTGATGAAATTTGCCATCCTCAGTGAATACAATGACAGCACCGTGGGCTTAATACATTTTCTAAAATTTTAAACTATGGTGTAATGTTCTTTTTTTGAAAATATACAAGAGTGATGTAAATTGTGTTATTAGTAAACCACTTAGGATTGTGTTTTTAAGGCTTTTTATATTTGAACCCACAAGTAGTTTGCCAGGGAACGGTGCCCTTAATCACTCTCCGTAGCTAAGCAAACACATTAAGCTGACTTTCTAATTGGCATGAGCCGGATTTCCCTCACCATGATGAGTGTGATTTTGAAACCAAGAAACTTTAGGTTTGTCCTTTAAGAAAAGTGATTTACAGGAGAAGGTTGTGGGAGGGAAAAAGGAACTCTATTTTACCCCAAAAAGAGACAACATCCTTGCCCGAGGTAGCATTGTGACATTGCCAATGCAACAGGGTTGTGAAATACTGAGTTTTTGTTTTTGTGGTGATGTCTGAAAGTACTGGTTACTGCACCAATGTCTTGTTATCATGCATCTCTAGTTCTGGATCTACTTCCTTATAATTGCTAATGAAAACAGAGTGATGAGCAGAGCAGTGGCTAGATCTTCAGTTCAATTCTTCTGTTGTTTGTATTAATAGATGACATCTTCTGAAAATTTCTTAATAATTATATTTGGCATTTAAGAAACAAAATACAATTGTCTTTTCCTATATTTTTAAGTCTATTTAAATTTTTGACTTACAAGCTAACTTATCTTTATTTCTCTAATCCTAGGCATCCACTAAAAACAGTCTCTATTAGTGTATATTTTGCAAGTAATCAAAATCACAGTAACTGAGGAAAATTAGGACAAGCCTAATAGTAGCCAAGCTCTAAATAGGCTTTAAAATAAAAATAGGATATGTGACTCAGAATACAGTACTAGTTCTTCATCTTACAGATGTTCTCAGCCATCGGAGTCAGCGTGGGCTATGACACTGGTAAGTGTGGGTGAAATGGGTAAAATTTTGGAGAGAATGATAGGCTTTTTTTTCAGACTATCTTCCAATTACCTCATATTACTTTATGTTTTACAGAATGTACAGAAAACTTTGCCTACTCATTTCTTATTTGCCTTAATAGCAAGCTTTAAGTGAGCCTTAAATTAGTAATAGAATTGCCTCCCTCTTCTAATGGCATTTTAGGTTTATACAAAACCCATCTCAGGAAACAAGTGTCTGGCTTTAGTTACTTATCAGCTGAGTGGCTACCTCATTAAACAAAATTCACTAATGATTTCTGTCATGACACGCCATTCATTGGGCCAACAAGATAGAAAAGACAGCATCTCTGACCACGGAAGGGACATGACAGAAATGCTGTCATGATATTTATATTCCACCTACTCGAAAGACCAATTGAGAAACTCCATATGGACTCCAGTTTGCCACTAGCCCACAGAATTGAAGTTTCTTAGCTGGCTTAAATTAAGAATTTTGGGTAAGTGTAAAACTTTGCATATATTTATTTTCATAAATCTAGGCAGTTTATTTTCATGTAGTTCTTTTCATCCTACCCAATTCTCTTTTAGTTGACACAATAGGCAAAGGAAATACATTCTTAGAAAGCTTGTAAGAAGAGAGGGCCAGGTATAATAGGAGAAAGTAAAAGAACATTGCTTGATAGCTCTAATCTAAGGTGTATTAGTTAGGAAAAGGTATGTACACCTAGTTTAGAACAATAAGAAAAAGAAGGTAGCCTCCATTGAGGTAGATTGGCTGATTTGAATTATCTGAAACCCCTTCCTCTCACTTCTCAACATTGGCCAAATGGCAGGTGGTACAAGTCCAGTTCCCCAGTAAGTTCCTGTAAACAAAACTACTTATTTATAGACAGCTTCTCAGTACTGTTTTTCAGGAGCTCAGTCAGAACGCAACTCAGAGCCACATCAACTGCAAAGAAAAATAAAGATATAAAATCCTGTTTTGAAAAATTTGCTTTACAACTCGAATGAGGTCCGCCATGTATTTGGGGGGATCTTCAGCATCATGGCTTGAGAACAGGTTTAAAGAAACATAGAAATAAGCCCCATGAACTCCTGCATTGGAGCAAAAAGAAAATACGGCTGACATCATGGAAAACTGCCAGCAGAGTTAAGCAAAATTTGAAATATCTACTTCTCCTTTCTATTCTTTCTTCTTTCTTCTTTCTATAGGGCATTCATTGGAATCAGCTTCGATGGAGGAATAACTGAACCACTGTGTATACAGACAGATCATAAAGCGGTGAACTGGGCTATTGAAATACTGAAGCTTTCCCAAAAAACTTTTGCCATATTTATTTATATAATGCAAAGTAAAATAGTAATATCTTTCTTTCAAAAAATACATGTCAATGTGCTTTAATTTATTCTCATAATTCTCCATATGAAATTTGCAGATATGTGAAGATTAACTCAGCATATATTTCAAAAGGTAAAATCTTCAGTAGTTTTAATCTAGGCTTATGTTACATATAGAAAATAGTAGGAAGAGGTATAGTTGCTTATAAGGATGAAAAATATGGCAGCTTTTAGTATAATCTCTTCTTACATTCTAAAGCACTACATGTATTCACCAACAGCTAAATGAAATCACTTTACACATTCACCAATTTTTATTCAGCAACTATTAAATTCAAGACATCTTGTCTGTTCTGAATATAACTGCAAAGGTACATAAATATAACCTTATTCTTCAGAAACAAAATTTCACCAAAGAGAAAAAGTGTAAGCTTATTTGCAGCAAAGATATATTTGCTACTTGCTGGCCCACATGAGGCACCTATTACATATTTACTGAATGAGTGTATAAACCATAAAATCAAGTAATTTAAATATAACATATGATATAAGCCACAAATGTGATTAATTCCTATGGGATTTAGAGCAAGGGGCATCACTGTTAGCTGAATGATCAGTGAAGAACTCACGGAGTTGAATGAGCTGATAAAGATTTTAGTCAGGCAATAGTTCAAAATAGGGCATTGTTTGGTAGGCAGAAATAAAAGAGGAAGTCTCAGGCAGAGAGAACAAAAAGAACAAGACCATATAAGGGTAGGGTATAAATACAGGATGGGAATAAGGGAGATCCAGGAGATCAATTCTATTTGAGTAGGTGGAGCAGTAATGGGAGAAAATGGATTGGAGCCAGATAACAAAGGCCTCGGCTATTACACTGAGGACCTCACACCTTATTCTGAAGACCAGTGTTTTCCATGTCTCCTAGAGTGCTCTTCTATTGCTAAATTGCTTGAGCACTCACCACCATAAGTGTATAGTTATATATCAGAATTTTGTAAAGTATACACATTATATTGTCCATCTATATCTATCCTTTATGTATATACACAGAGATGTACATACATGAACACATATTACAAGTAGACATTTTTAAGTGTCGACTAAGTGTGACACATCTACCATAATTTTTAACCACATATGATAAATGTATTTAGTTATTTTTGTACATATTTGCTTACTACATGTCATCTGTATTCCCTGCTGAATTGTCATCCTTATAAGAGAAGGAAACATTTTCTTGTTCTTTCTATATTGCAAGTGCCTAGTGCAGAATCTGGCACAGAGTAGGTGCTTATTAAATATTTGTTTGATGAAGAAATAAGTTGAACGGTTGACTGATCAAATTTGTTTTGAGGTGAGAATAAACTAATCTGGAGCCATCAAACATTCTTCATATTTCCCACTAGAGACTCTCTATATATCACGTATTATAAACATTAACCTTCAGTCTTGAAACTATCAATGACAGACTCCATATTAAAGAAAAGATGGGAGAAACAAGGCTGTCCCATCTTGAGTATAACACTAAAATGTTCCCTTTTCTTTAACAGCTTTATTAACATATTATTAATATACAATACATTACACACATTCAATGTGTACAATTTGATGATGGATATAGTCATACACCTGTGAAACCATCACCAGAAATCAAAGTAATAGATATGTCCATCACCTCCAAAAGTTTCCTTATGTCCTTTTATTTGTTATTTTTGGTGAGTGTATCTGTGTGTGTGTGTGTGTGTGTGTGTGTGTGTGTGTGTGTGTGTTTAGAATACTTAAGGAAACTGTCTTAATATAGTTCCCATTTCTACAAACTAAAGACATAGCATTTCTTTCCACAGATGTATTTAAAAAGGAATATAAAATTCCATTTATAATTTCTTCATATAAAACGAAGTATCTCAAAATGAGTTTCCTGGAGTCCAGGGGTTCCCAATAGGATCTTTAGAGGCTTTTCTAGGATAAGGGCTAGAAAAATGTGTTTGAGGAGAGTGACTACAGACTGCTATTTCAACTAGCCATCTCCAGTTTTCTTCTTTAATAGAGATACTTTTTATAGGATACTGTTTGGAAAAAAAAGAGCTCAGACAATTAACACAATGTTTTTTAAAACCAATAATATAAAGGTGTTTAAATCCTGTAGAAATACAATAGAGCTAATTAATAACTGTGTGAAATCTAAAATGAATTTTAGTCATTTTTGTCATATTGGTTTGTTTATATATTGGCACACCTACTCCTCAATCTATGGTATTGCTGCTGAAACTACAGTAAAAAGAAATAAAACTACTACTGTAATTAAAGATGCTTTTATCCCTAAAAGTTGTTGGTGATTATTCTTTTTTGTCTTCCCAAATCCATCTCCTCCCCTTTACTACTTATCAACTGGTCTCCCTTGTTAGTTGGCGTCTGGTCAAGGTCAACCAATGGGACGCATTGGAGGGAGATGAGACCATGGGAAGAGAAGAAAGCCATAGCTTATTTTCCAGTTCCTACCTGCATTCACACTGTATGTCTAGCAGTAGCTTCATCTGCCTCTTGGTTTCCTTTTCCACAGTTCTAGTAGTCACTGGACTCTAGTAACACTTTTTCCTTCTGTTCAGGTCCTAGCAGGTTAACAACTTTCCACTGTTGCTATTCTCTGGATCTTCACTATTTCTTTGTTTGCTCCTTTGCTCCTCTCACACCTCTGTAATTAATTTCTTGTCTCTTTATTTGAGCCATCTGGTGAATGATGTTTCCTACCATTTTCTTGGCTGATACAAAGTTAAAGCCTATTAAAACATCTAAAACTAAAATACAGAAAATTAAAATACTGGTCATTAAAATTTTTACCGTTGATTCAACCTTGTTTACCATGTCTCCAATATATCATACTGTACATTCTTTTTGCCAAAAACAATAACTACTCTATATTCTTAGAGACTATTAGCAAATTAAAACTAAAGAAAAAGTTCATATAATGTTATGTAAAAGAATGTCCAGAAAAATTATTACTTCATTGTAAATAAATATTCAGAACTCTCCATTCTGCACTTGCATGCAAGCTAGAAGGTGACAAGACCACATAACTCACCTCACAAAGCCAGAGAAGACTAAAGAAATATCCTCAAAAAAGTTCAAAGAGTAAATTTATATATGTGCACATGTTCACTTAACTACAAAAAAAGCAGAATATGTTATTATCCGAGGCCCAAGAGACTAGTCAATGACTAGTAGCAAAATAGTTTTGCTTAAGTGTCCACTACTGTCTGTATTTCCGCAAAAAAAGTATAGCTGGCAAGCACCTTAATAATCAGAACTAGCATTTACTCTAAAAAATGTTGTCTCAAGAAACCCTGAAAAAAATGTATGACATGAACATGAAGAAACTTTAATAAGACAAAATAAATAAAGAATTGTATGTTTTGAACATATTCTTGAAAAGACATCATAGAAAGTTTCCATAGAGCTTTTTGGAAAACACTGACTGGTTATTTTTATGTAGCTGAAAAAAAAAAGCACGATATTTTACAAAGGAATAAAGAAAAGTGTCTTGCAATGAGTTTTAAAGAAAATCTTGTTTTGAGAGAAATGTTCAGCAATCCACTCTATTATTTTAGGCCTCTTAAAGGAATATCCACAAAATTAATTGATATTAAAAACAAAAGCAATCACTGAATACATACTGTGAGTTAAATAATTATAGCACGATCATGTCTGAAAATCAGAGGGAAATCTCATCTAGATCCATCATTAGTGAATAGGCAGGACATGTTCTCAGGTCAAATAGTTGAAGTAAACTAGATTGCTAGAGTAGTGTCTTCTGTCTGCCTTGAATTTACAGAATGGGCATCAAAGAATCCAAAACAAAACAAAGAGGAATGATTTAGGGCAATTTTTGTCTCTGTCAAGTAGAATCACAATACTGAAATAATAAAACATATCTGTAGTTTCTTCAGTGATGCATGTGAAAGACAGCTATGACTATAAGAAATGTATGAGAAATAGCAGTATCCTGCCCATAGTCTACCCACACCAAAGAGAAAGAGTTGAGGTCAGAGGTGAACTTGCCTCCCCCGACAGTTGTATGGCAGAATGGCCAAGACCACCTGACACTGTGAATACAGAAGATGAAAGATTGCCACAGATATCACCAAATTCAGGAAAGCATCAGTGGCTGATGAAATGACATCATGAGTCACATTTGAAATCTAGAGCTCTCAGAAGCCTGATTGATTGGAGAAAAATAGTTTATACATGAGAAAAAGATATGTATTCAAACAGAATTATAAACATAAACAAACCTCATGAGCTACTGAAACCATGATGCCATTTTGCAATTTGATAAGGCTATGTTCTTCTAATTCTGCAGTAATTTTTTTCTCCATATATACGATAAATTTGTTAAAGTCATCACTTTATGCTAATTCCTAATTGTGACATGATCCCTTGGTACTTATAATCTGGCTCTCACTATGACCAATCAATTGAGAATTCTCAGGAAACCTGCAAATTCTCTTTGCAATATGCAACATGATTTACTACCACTTCCACTTATAATTTTTCTTCCTTTGGAACTGATGACATGGTATGCCCAGGGTTTTTTTTTCCTGTGTCTCCAACCATGCTTTCCCTGACACCTTTCCTTTGCTCATCCTCCAGATGTCAGGATGTCTACAGAACAGACATTTTCATCAGAGTATCAATTGTAGGTTTTGGGCCTCAAGACATGAGGGGAAACTGTTCTACATCCTTAGAACTCCATCATCTGCCAATTCCTCAAATTATCTTTGAGATGGTTCACAGGTTTTTTCTTTCTTTTCTCGTCTTTGCTTTTTTTTTTTTTTTTGAGATGAAGTCTCACTCTGTAGCCCAAGCTGGAGTGCAGTGGCACAATCTCAGTTCACTGCAACCTCCACTTCTGGGGCTCAAGAGATTCTAGTGCCTCAGCCTCCCAAGCAGCTGGAACTATAGGTGCACGCCACCGCACCTAGCTAAATTTTTGTATTTTAGTAGTGACAGGGTTTCACCATGTTGCCCAGGGTGGTCTCGAACTCCTGAGCTCAGGCGATCTGCCCACCTTGGCCTCCCAATGTGCTAGGATTACAGGCATGAGCCACTGCTCCCCGCCTGGTTCTCAGGTTTTTTAAGATCAGGAAAAATGAAACTTTGCTTATAACATTCTTACTTTGGCACAGTCTTGTTTCAATGTGGAGTGTGTGTGTGTGTGTTTTTGTGTGTGTGTACATAAAAACAGTCATAGGCAAATCCTTAGGTATATCAATCAGAGCTTTTCAACTCAGAATATTTCTGTGATGCACATGTTTATTGTAAAAGTATGTTATGTACTAGTATGGGGACTTGCTCATTATGATAGAAATAATATTTATTTTCTACAAGTTACAAATGTTTTACCTAAGAAATAGTTAAGTAAGAATGGAAAGTTAGTGGACAATTATGATTAGCTGAAGAAAGTTTACTTCCTATAGCAAATAAATTACGATTGATAAGAAACCTTCCTCAGCATACAGACTTGCCTTGCAAGATTTGGTCACTTTTTTTTTCACAAGAGACTTAGTTATTGGTTTGTATAATTTCCTTGGAACACAAAATATTATCCAAAATTACTTTTTCTACCAAGTCTAGCAGTTATCAGCTACAACCTTGTTTGTATGTTTTGAAAGGTACTATAAATACCTGTTCCCTTTCCCCAACTCTTCACCTTATAAGTGCCTTGGGGACTCTCCTATTTCCTTGATGTCCTGAGTTTGAATTCCCTAGTAAACCCACTGAGTATGTGCTGTTATATGAAATGCTAGGTTGTTATTAGAATGAACCAGTTGATGACGAAGACATGAGTCCCTGAGAAGTTCAGATATTTGCTCGGCACAGACAGGGAATAAGAGAGTAAACCAGAACAGTGTTACCTGACAGATTTGGTGTAGAGCACCTCTTAGCCATCATAGTGTATTAAACTAAAAATATCTAAACCCAAGATCTATGCTAAATCAGGTAACACTTGTATTTTATTCTCATATAAATAGGTAGTGGTAGTTACCGATATTTTGAGAAAGATTTTCAAAGAAAACATTGAATTGGAAAAACTTAATATATATTTTTTTCAAATAAATTGGGAAAACATTAACTTTAGCACTGAAACAAATGGAACCTTAAGGAAAATTTTTAGAAGAGAGCTTGCAGACTTCTATACTGTATCACAAAGTAATAAAACCACAGACTATATGGGATGAATCATAGCTTATACATTATTTATACAAATCCTTTAATTTTAGGAATATGAAAAATGAGGCTCAGATAATCGGGTGAATTTCCAGGTTCTATAACCACATACAACCGAATTGGGACTCTAGAACGTGGGTATTCTGATTCCTCATTCAGCACAATTTTCCCTGCTCAACAGTCTCTTCTGCCCTCTTCTTTCATGAAAATAACTTTTTTCTAAAAACTTCCAAGACATATGAAAGTATTACAGGTTTCATGGTTAAAAAGTTGAAGTTCTAAATTGTTTTTAATTAGTATTTGATTTACCACTTTTTATGGTCCTTATCCAGCTATTTCAATATATTTTTTAAAAGAAAATAAAAACTGTTGCTCAGTAATGATCTTTAAAATTCAGTGGCTTGAGTGCATTAGGATTTCACTGAAGACTACTTAAACAAAACTCTTTTAATAACTTTTGAAATCAACATTTGAACAAATAATTATTGAGCTATTATATGACCTACATGCTAACATGTAAATATTTGGTATTCAAGAGGCAATAATTTAACTTGGAATTATAAACGTATTTTAGAAAATCTGATTTCTTGAGATTTGGGTATCCATTAATTTTTGCCACTTTTGTGTATTTCAAATACCCCAGAGTTTAATGGTAGTATTCACAAACTTATTTACTTGCAGTTCTGCCTTTCCTTGAGGCATTTCTAAGTGCCCAAAACTATTAATAAGGATGAATAAATAGACACAAATGAGCTTATTTTCAGTCATTTACAATTTAGTCTACTATGTGCTAATCCTGTGTCCTCCGTTAATCAACTCCAAAGCACAAGCCTTCCACTGTGCTCTATAGAGATGAGGTATATGTGGTGGAATTCAGTCAAAATATTAATTTAGACATTTGGGAACCATCACCTCCTTGAGAAAACTATCAGGTAAAATACATTCATTTTCAGCCAAGTTAAATTCCCATGTCCATGAATTGCACAACTCTGTTAAAGTCAGTAAGTATCAAAGTCTTGAGCTAGGGACGAGACAACATTGCCCAATAACCACAATTAGGGTTTCCAGCATCTGCTGTTCCTCTTTTATAAATCTGAATTCTTCTTCCTGTGCTATCTCTCATACACATTATTCATGCTGATGTTGAAAGAGTGGCAATTTGTGAGGAGAGTTCAGTAGTTTCATTCTAGCACTGGAAATCACTGTCCACATAACAGAAGGAAAACTGATCCCAGGAAATTGTCTCATAAACGTTCTTAAACCCCCCCACATTGTATTATGATGCACTTTAAACATACAGGGAGTATAGTATTTTGTTAAATATTTGGTTTGTCCTGAACACTGAAACTAAGATTTTTTAACCCTCGGTTTCAAGTTCCTTCACTGACTTGCCCTGATTTGACTTCTCTTTTTTTTCCTCCATTCCCATATTTGTCCTTTAATCAATAAACTCTACCTAACTTGCAATAAAATCTCTTGTTCCTGGCTGCCATTCTAACTCACATTTAAAATTTCTCACCAGTATCCAAAATTCTTTCTTTCCCCTAATTCACAGAGCTCTCAAGATATAACAATTTACTGTTATTGATATTTAAATGCAATGATCATTTCCACTAATCCACTCTATATTCTTCAGGAAATTTTCCCCTTTGCTCTTTATAGTATCAGAGAGAGAAAGAGAGACAGAGAGAGAGAGAGATAAAGAGAGTAAGACAGAGCAGAGCGAGGGAAAGAGAAATCTCATACATTTAAATCAGACTTAAAAATAGATAATAGCCCCTCAAGCCCTAAGCCTGAATGAAATAAAATAAGATCTAGTGAGAATCAAAAAGTGGAACTGAAAGAAAAAATTAAACATATTTCTCTTCGTTAAAAACATTTGTTTGATTTTTATGGAAATCTGAGTTTTTATAAAACTCTAAATATTATTTGGTGAAAAACTATGTCTTCTCTGATACAGAAATTGACCAAACTTGCAGATTACCAAGAAGAAAATTCCATGTGGGAAGGGCCAATTTTGTACTCACACTGAATTTTTGAGCAAAATACACATTTGGAAACAAGAAAATATGAAACAATTATGTGTTTATATTATGCATTCAATTAATATTTCCAAATATGTAAAATTCTTTGTAGGGCAGATGGGAAGTCCAGGTACAGCTGATCATTTTTATATTAAATACAGTATATACATCTTTCAACACTCTTCATAAATGACAAATTGTTCTATGTGTGACCTAAGATTTCTGGCTGAACCAAAAGAATCTCCATGATACATGTTCTTGAGGTTTGTAATAAATAAACTTTTGGCTTGAGGGAGAAGTTGACTTGTTGATTTGATGACTTGTTACAGCCAACTTTCAGGAAATATCTAAAAATATTTTCAACATAAAGTTAGCAATGTTCAGAAGGCATCCTAACGCTTTTATCCACTCCTTCTATGCAGACCACATTTGTTTTCCATGTAATCCTTTTCCCCTCCTAACAACAGCTGTAGCACTACTTAGCACCCATTGGTCTAATGCTATTCTTAACTAAAACTACTAAATTACGTCTCAGAGAAGTACTAGAGAGAGCCAAAGAGTAACTCAGGTGGAGTTCCATTGTCCTACCCAACAAGTTATCCATTCTGCTCTTACTAAATCACATACTAATCAATCAGATGATCAACCAAACTAAAAGTTCATTGATAATTTATTACATGGAAGTCACTGTAGTTAGTGATTTTTTGATAATACAAAGAAATGTATTACTGACAGAGGATTTAACATTGTTATTTTGACTACCCTCAAGCAATAATCAAGGGTTCATGACATGCAGCAATTTGTAATTTTGCTGAGGCACGAAATTGAATTACATGTGGCAAGAGGCTGGTTTCTAGCAGGAATCCTTTAGCTAGAGTGTGCCTTTGTGATTGACCCACACATCTTCTCACAGTGGTTTAGATATTCTCTTTGTGGTCAAGTTACTATGTAATAATTCTCATGATATGATTTTTTAAATAAATATTTTCTTCGTGAGTACTTTTCCAGCAAATGAAGTCAGCTACTAGTTCTGGTGATAAAAGTAAAGTGGAAGCAAAACTATCCAAGAAAGTGATGGTTCTAATCCAGGAAATAAAAGCTTTATGGAGACAATTACATGTTAAACTGACATTCATGAATTTGGGACTGTGGTATCCCTCATGAATATTGAGGATCTGCCATATAAAATAAAGTCCTTATCTTTAGGGAACATTTAGAATAACACAAAGTTACCTTCTTACAACCCACATTAGCTTTAGATCATTGCAGAAATGAATGTCATTTTAATTACATTTTAAGATCAAGACATTCATGTTATTTGTATTTTGCTGAATACCATGCATAAAATCACCACAGTATCTCCTCTTTCACAATACAAGATTTGAAATAATGACAAAATACGGAAGTTTTAATAACTTAGTTATTTCTTTTTAGTTTTAGGTCACAACTAATACAACTTAGGTTAAAATGAAGCTATGAATAAGAAAAAAAACCTTCCAATTAATTGCGTCAATATATAATACACACCTAGGTTAAAACAACTTCATAGGGAAGTGGGATTTGATATATTCTCAAGTTGGCTTAAATACTTTTTCTAGGCAGAATAAGCTTGGAAACAGTTTTCGAATCCCAGAACATTGTGACAATATACATGATGTTGCACAATGGGAAGTATATGGCATATCTTGGCCACCTGTCCCATGTGAAGATCAAGGCCCATCATTTCTGCTTATGGCAGCTGTTATTTGCCATCCTCCCTTCCTCCTGCTGATGATTGTATATACAGCCGCCCTGGGTCTCCTAACCTTACGCTGCTTCTGTTTGTGGTGCTTGCCCTTGCTATTTTCACTTTAAGTGAGCTGCTCTGTCCTTTCTCAAACTCATTGAAATATTGTTCCTAATAAAGATCAAAAATCCAATGCTTGACTTCTTGAAAAAAACCTTCCTCTTTTCCTGGGCAAGCACACAACAGAATGTGCGGGAGGAGGGGGGTGGGGGATGGGGATAAAGAAACAGGAAAGAATCACGTACTTATCTCTTAAAGTTTGCAGAGTACTTTTTGAAAATGAGAATTCTTTGTATTTTTAAAACCCTCTCCACCCATTAGCCTCAACACTACATTGCTGCTATACTTACACCTCGCTCGTTATGTATTTACTTTTTATATAACTAAGCAGCACCCTGTCATAAATGAAATATTCATGCAAAAAAAAAAAAACCTGCTCAAAATGAATTTATAAAAAGAACATATAAAAACTACCATCTGCTCCCACTCCTAGCAAGCCCTTAGATACCCAAGTGTAAGCCCTCTGATTCCACAGAGAGGTAAAGCAACGTGTTCATGATGTATTCCTGAAAGCGCAAACTTTAGAGTTTGTATTAAGATGGATCTATCAGCTCTGGCTATCAAAATGCTTAGATCAACATTGATGGGCTTAGATATTGCACATAATGAATTCACGTGCTAGCATATTGTAATGGGTAGTCATACCCAGTCATATTGTGCTGAATTGAGCTGAAGCTCTTCTGGGAAGTTGTGAAAGCGTTTTGTAGTCAATTGATACTACACTACTTTATAATAAGCCTTCCTTTAAAGAAAGTTGTCCAGACATTCCAAGACTCCAAGCTGAAGTACAGGCATTTGGATACTTTATTGTTTTAATCCAGCTAGGAAAGCTAAGGCTACTTCTGACATACTCAGTGCATTTTACTGCTCACACTTGCAGTATCACAACTGCAACACACCAACGCTAATAAGATACATCTGATTTTCTCAGTAGTTAAATTTCTACTAAATGGCAAGTTGCCTTTTTAAAAGTTCAATGAACACTTTAAAGAAGTTCTCCCCTTTCTGTACCCTTCCCTTCCTTTCCAGCACATTCCCACTTTCCTCAATGCTCCCTGCTAACCACTCTGAAGTTTATATATGAAATTTCATGTTTTCTTCCTGAGTCAATTAGAATTGTTTGTTTGCAAGTGACCAAACAGCAGAGTAGCAGTGTTATAAACAAGAAAAGAGTTTTATTTCCTCTCACAGGGAAGATATCCAGAAGTAGGCAGTCTAGAACTAATTTCATGGCTCCAGGATCATTAGAAAACCAGCATACTTTTTTTCTTGCAACACACATGTTGACTTGGTGTGTTGACTTATGGTTGAAGATGGCTTCTTCAGTTCTAGGCATTCCACTGCATTCCAAATAGCAAGAAGAAGAAAGTTCTGCTCCCTCCTTTCTTAAAAAGACTTCCAGCAAGTAACACACATTCCTGAATACATTACTTTGACCAGAACTTAGTCACATTGCACGTCTTGCTGCAAATCTTGCTACTCTGGGAAATGTAGTCGTTAGCTTGACTCATTGCCACCCCAAAATAAATTCAGAGTTCTTATACGAAGAAGAAAGAGGAGATTAGATGTTGGGATAGATAATTTCCAGCTTCTGTTTCATTTCACTAGGTCATATCATAGCTTATTGTTACATGACATTTGTTCAGGTTTATATTTCTACTTGTTTTAGGTAAATAATCCAGGTATTCATCATTCAATAATCAAATTATAGATAAAGTGATGATTAAAATGGGTAGAGAAGAGTTCTGTAGAGTATTGTAATTAGTACCTTAGCTCCTGTTACACTCTGTTTATGTATACAGGAAGCTGTGAGACTGCCTTCAAATAACCAGCCACACTTATCTACCTAAACAAATATAAAATCAAGGCTCTAGATCTATAGCCCAAGATTCTTGATGCTTTCCTCAGTAGTGATCTCTCACACTTTTGAGAGTGTGAAAGGAGAACTTATTGATAATAACACTGGAATATCAGAGGTAAATCAGGATTGTCCAGGGAAAATTGGGGCATGTGACCACCCAACTCATCCTGCATACTGAATCCTGTCACATACCAAACCTTATAGAGACATCAGTTTACTTTTGTTAATTTACCAATCACTTCTCATTGAAAATGTTTTACGATATGAAGAAAACATAACAGAATTGGATTATTATCATACACAACTCTCTAAGTCTATTTAGGCTGTTATAACAAAATACCTTCACATGAGTAATTTATAAACAAAAGTTTATTGCTTACAGTTCTGGAGGCTGGAATGTCCAAGATCAAATCATAGTCAGATTCAGTGTCTGGTGAGTGCCTATTTCTCATATATGGCACCTTCTATGCATATTTATATGGCAAAAGAGCAAAGGGGCAAACAAACTTTCTCAGGCCTGTTTTATAAGGGCACTAGTCCCATTCACAAGGGTTCTCTGCCTTCATGACCTAATCACCTCCCAAAGGCCCCACCTCTTAATACCAACACATTCAGGGTTAGATTTCAACAAATGAATCTTAGAAGAACACAGACATTCAGACCATAGCAACATCTTATCTCTGAATTTGGTATAGAAGGGCAGAGACTTCAATTAAAAGGACCAGATGAACTGAAAAGTAGCATTAAGAAACTATTTCCATGTATGTTCTCACTCATAGGTGGGAATTGAACAAGGAGAACACTTGGACATAGGAAGGGGAACATCACACACCGGGGCCTGTTGTGGGGTTGGGGGAAGGGGGAGGGATAGCATTAGGAGATATACCTAATGCAAATGATGAGTTAATGGGTGCAGCACACCTACATGGCACATGTATACATATGTAACAAACCTGCATGTTGTGCATATGTACCCTAGAACTTAAAGTATAATAAAAAATATATATATATAAAAGAAACTATTTCCAGTTGTTCATGCTACTGTGAAGTCAAAATTGTCCCAAGAAATGGGTATGAATAGTGGAAATCTACTCTTAGTGCTCAGAATCTAGTTATAAAGGGTTCTGCTTAGTGTCTCTGAGTTTGTAGTATTTGTATCCACTATTCTGAGTAGTTTATCACTTTAATCTGTAACCTGTGACAGTTGACAGCTGTCATTTGGGAGGATTTGCTCTGGCTAAAGACCAACCATACAGAACAAGGCTGGGTGTGAGGGCCCAGGCTGACAAACTATTTTAGCTTTCTTCACAGGGCACTAACATATGATTATGATTGAGAATCTCCTCTGTCTATGACAGAACCTAATAACAGATCCCACTTTTTTTCTCATTCCCATATAATTTTGTGTAATTTTTCCTGAAACATATTTCTGTCTGAAAAAGCATTACTATTAGATAGTACCTATTGATATAGAAGCTTCCAAAGATGCAGAATGCTCAACTAAGGAGAAAAAAAATCACTAGAAGAATTTGGATTTGTAAAAATTACTTAAAATATCCTAAATGTCCACAATCTACACTCTACTTTCTTTGTTGGTTGTTGAAGTTTTCTTTCCCTAAGTGAGTTTACAAGAAGCCTCATACCATGCAAGTTCAAAACGTGAATTTTTGAGTCTAATTCCTGAGTTAAAATCTTCATTCTGCCACTTTCTAACTGTGTAACTTCAAACATGTCAACTACCTGTAAATGAGGATAATCTTACTATCTTATGGTTGCTTGAATATTTATTAGGCTAATATATTTAATTATTAGAACCTTTTAAGTGTTTGAAATTTACAACCTAAAAGTGGACACAGGATGTATAACTTGTGTCTATACAGGTCCAATCAAACTCAAGTAGTTAAAAACTGAACTCATCTTCTATAAAAATGTGTGCCTTTTCATGGCATCCCAATCTTTATTGAGAATATCACTTTCTTTTATGTACCCAGACCCTACATCTTAGTCTTAATTTTTATTTCCACATTCTCTTCTCTCTCACATCTGAAAGTATTCAAGTCTTGTTCCAAAATCCATCTTCTCTCTCTTCATACTGTAATTGTCTTAACTTAGATTCTCTTTAGTCCTTGCCCAAATAATTCCAATAACCCTTTGTGTGTCCAGGCTACTCCCATCAAAACCCCTTTCATACAGTTTATAGAACATCCCTGTTAGAATCCTACCATGGATACTCCTTGCCCAAAATAATATCTAAACTACTCATGATGACATTCAATAATTTCATGATAAGGTTTCAATCTATCTTTTTTTCTCATCTCTCTCCATCCTCATGCCCTAGGTCAACCAGATAATTAGCTGTGCATTTTGGCACCTTAATATTTTTTTGGCCCACATTCTGCCATCTAAATGGAATGTTCTTATGCTCTTTTTTTTCTGAATATGTGTTCCTATGCTCCTTCTTTTCTGAATATGAAAGCATTCATAGCCCATCCTCTGTCTGTCAAGCCATGTAAGGTTGGTTGTATCACCACACAGGGGAAGATTTTTTCTAATCAATCTACCCTGAATCTGCCAAGGAGGATTGCCTCATTCTTTCACTCCCTTCAACAGGAAAGCCCTGCCTCCTCTAGGAGAAGCACCTTTTTCTAACTCTTACAAAAAATGAAGTTTCAGTTAGCAGTGACCCTGGACACTCACAATAGGTTTTTAAATTTAATTAAATAAATCAACATTGTCACAGACTTGTGACAGAAACATGTTAATGAGTCTGTAGTAGAGAACTCAAACCTGGCTCCTCTTCTATTGACAGCCTCCTTCACCAAGTACATCACATGGGGTAGTGATGATTGACGATAATGTGACATGATCATACAAACAACAGCATCTTATGGTTGTAAAGCACCCAAATTCATTTGGACAGGACAGGCTACAGTAGCAAATAGATTCAAGACTATATAACTGCTCAAACATAAATGAAGTTTATCTTTCGCTTACATAATATTTCAAAGAGAATACTCTTGGTGACAGGCAGCTCTCCTCCACACAGTAATTCAAGCGCCTAGCATTCTTTAATCTTATTGCTTCACCACTCATTGACATCTGATAATTACCTACATCTAGATGCAAAAATTAGGGGAAAAGAATGGAAGGAGCATATTTCTTTTCTAAAATCCTTGGCTCAGAAATAACACACAGCAGTTCTACTCCTAATTTACTAGTGAATATTTTTCAGATGGTTCTACATCATAGAAACAGAGGCAAGAAATGTAGTCCAGCTACATGAAGAAGAAACAGTACGGATTTTTGTGAACATGTATGATCATAGTGCCATATAGTTTAGAAGCTATCTTTATAGATGTTATCTCTACTAGGTAAACAGAAATATTCCTCCTTTTCAATTTTTAACAGATGGTGAAGCAGAGATTCAGAGATTGTAAATGGTACACTGAAAATAGCAGAGCTAGGTGGTGAAGGAGAAGAGTCACAAGTCCAAAGCTTCTAACTTCAACTTTCAACTTTTAACTGTTCTCACTGAAGCATCTCAAAAAGAAGATAATTTAATGGAGAACTCTCAAAGTCCTTTTTAATGATTTGACTTGAAAGCTACATAAATCCTCCCAGTACCAAATTTCTGACAACTAAATAGCATCTTAATATTTGGCTAGAAATGGCTATTTTTCTTGTTTTGCAGTGAGGAGAGAGACGATCTCAGAGCTGACAAGGGCCACATCATTTACAGTGGTTTTCAAACTTCTTTGGGAAGTAGAAACTTCTTGACATAAAGTCTTATGTTAACCCCTAAGATAGGAGACAAATAACAGAAGAACCACTCTAACCAACGCAGGGTTGGAAACCCAGAACCTCTCTTTTTGAGCTTCCCTATCTCATTTCCTGCAACCAAGAAGACCCCAAACAACTTTCACAGGTCCTTTAAGAACTCATCTGAAAACGACTATATTAGAAAAATGCCCATTTACCAGTTATAACTGGAAAACAAACCAGTAGGTCTATGTATTAATCAATTCTGCAAGTACTTGTTGACAGTAATACCAGGCACTATGTCAGCTGCTAATGACACAAATAGGAAAAAAGCAGGGACTATGATCTTTCAACCCATTATGATGTAGAAGGGAGTATAGGTATGCATGCAATGCAATGAGAGAAAATGATATTACAGAGAAATGTGCAATGTGCTCAGAACACATAGAGCAAGGGACCATTTAAGCTCATCTAGGAGGTAAGAGCTTTCTAGAAAAGTTTTATGAAAATGTAACTTTTGAGCAAAAAATTGAAGGATGAGTTTGCAACATGGATAAGGGAGAAAATGGATGAGGGAGAAGGTGGACAAAGCATATAGCACCCATAGCAGGCGTAGAGAACTGCAAATAGTTCAGTCTGGCTAGTGTACTAGAAGCATGGAGAAGTATGGCAGAAGATGAAGCCAGCAAGATAGGTAGGGCCCAAAATGTAAATGTACTGAAAATCCTGTTCAAAACTGGACTTTGACATTCAAGCGATAGAAAGCCACTGGAGTTTGGTCCTGGATTTGTTGTTGTTGTCATTATTGTTTGTTTTTAATCAAGGTGATTCATGCTATCTGATAAGAATGTTAGAAAAACAGTAGTATCAATAATGTGTAAACTGATTTGGATTGCTGTGAACAGAGAAGCAGGATCACCAACTAAAAGGCAAAAATGGCATTCCAGAAAAGATGATAAGGCAATGGTGGTGATGACAGAGAGGAGGGAAGAGGATAAAGAACAACTTAGAAAGCAAAGTAGAGGAGGGTTGGTGATTAACTACATTCAGGAGATTAGAAAGAAGAAATTTAGCGTGCCCCAGCTTTCTGGCTGAACTGTGTCAGTGCCAGTAAAAATCAAAGTTTATTCATTTCTACTTTGCCACTGAATTTAGTTGTGCTACCTAATAAGATTGTTTATTCCGGTCACTAGTGAACAAATTGAGAGAAAATAAGTACACTTCCTACTACTAATCTCCCAAAGGTCATGTGGATAAGACCCTTCAAGGTGGAATATAAGACTCCATCATATTGTCAAAATAGTTTCCGGGATCCCTAGTGGCGAAGTAGGCAAATAGCTGGCAAGAACCAACTATAACCATTCAATGATGGTTGCCTGACCTAAACAATAGAAAAAAAAAAAAAAAAAAAAAAAAAACCTACTGGAGCCTCAAAATAGAATTAGTTTTGCCTGTTCTGAAGTTTCTATTTATTACTCACTGTCTTACTTTATTTCAAAAAGAATTGGAGTCTGAATATTTGCAGTCCTCAATAAAAATCAGCATATATTGGAGGATTACTTGCTCTGTATGACTGCTGAGCACTATAAAGTTAGAAGCAATCAGGGAAACTTGTGGTTTCTGCTTTATTTCCCCAGCAATGTGAAAAAGGCAGACTGGCCTCTTGAATCCATCTCCCAGGGATTAAAGGAAACTGGAAATGGTTGTGACTCTTTACTGACTTGCCATATGAGGCAGGCTTAAGATGGCATTCTGAATGAATTGGCACAGCCCTACAGCATTGGAATGGTATTTCTTGACAGGGTTGGATGGCATATGTAGTTTTGTGTATTGTTCTGGTGCTTCTTAAATCAAGTTGCCCAATTTAAGCCAAACAAATGTTTTATTCTCTATTCTTTATTCAAATCACATCAATCCTTTGCATGGTCAAGTCATATCCCCTGACTGCACTCTGAAAATTTCCCATGGTGCTTAGAAAAGGCTATTATAATAGACAGTAATTAAACAATGTACTTAGTATGCTTTAAGTGATTCAATTTTCAAATTTATTTTAACTATGTTATTCCTATAAAACTGTTTGAATTGATTAGTGAGTAAATAAATAAAAGTTTGTAAATCTGTACAAAATAAAGGAGAATAATTGAAAACAAAAATGGTTTCCAGGTCTTAATCAGTTTTTAGATTGCTCTATATCTTGAAGACAATTTACCTGCACTAAGCTGTGTCCAATATTTAGTCAAAGAATGTCTAATTCACCACTGTAACTCATGTAAGAGAAAAGGGACCAACTTGAAAGGAACGTAGGGTGTGGTTGGGAATTTCCTCAGACGTGATGAGCAGGTAAGTACTAAAACTACTGCTGGTTTCTACTTTATTGGAGTCAGATTTAATAAATTTGAGGATGGTTATGTAAGTGTTTATCTTATGATATTTAACCTTCTGTTTTAATTAATAATGGTGCGCCAACATTATCACTAACTAGATAATTTTTAAGCTTTTTCCACCAATCACTCAAATGCAGGCTTTATGACTCCTCTGTTTCTGGGTCTCAGCCCCCAAAGCCTATCATGCAAAATGTTGGCAAAACTCTGTTCATGAGGGATAATTCCCAGTGAGTCACACCATGAGGAAAATAGTTGAACTGTAATAGAAACATAGAGTGATTTATGTGTCACTGATACCTCATGAATCATACCAGTTGTAGGCATCTAAGAGTACCTGAGGTCATGTGGAAAGGCAATAAACATAAGAAGTGAAGAATACATGGGCCTATATCAAATTCTAACTGACAATCTCAATGTCTGTAAAGTTCCAAAATGGGGAAGAGTAAAGATCAGATTAAAGAATTAACACTTAGTGAAATGGCTAAACTTTGTGTGAAACAGAGCAACCCTAGGGAATACCCTATCTGGATTTTCACAGCCTGTTTACCTTCCCATGACATTTTGAGAGGCTCCTACCACAAGGCTTACACCCCAGACTACAAGGTCTTTGCCTTCTTTATATTTCTTGGTGGGGACCTACCCAGACTGTACTGCCCCACTACTTCATGTTCAGAATCTCTCCTATGGCAATTGCTCTGCAGACCTTTAGCTTGTAGGAGGTTGTGATATGCCTATGGGCTATTTACATAGACATAAACTCAATCTTCTCTTATCTTAATGCTTGCTATTGCTTTTTAGCCTCCAGCAGTTTGCCTCAGGTAATTCTTGATAGCACTTTTCTTTTTCAGATCTCTCTTAGAGCACTGACCCAGGGATTCTTGAGATAACAGTAGCCCCTTTCCATCCTGTTTTAATATGAGCACTCTTTCTAACCTTTGAGGTCATCAAAAGAAGGAGATGTGAAAAGGAAGTGTGGCTTATTTATTTTTCTTTGCAGGCCTCAGACCCAGCTCTTTGAAAATATGGAAATTCTTTACAGCCACTGCGTCAGCCAGTTTTGCCTCAGATAAACTTTGCATCTGAGAAATAAGTCTTTTACTCATTTTTAAAAAGTTTAGTTTTCTTTTTTGTGGTCAGTGTTGTTTAGCGTCATTTTCTTCTCCTTATTTCTCTCTTTGCTTTTATTTCTTCTCTTACAGCACTAGTGTCAGCCCCTGCCAAGTTTCTTTATCATCTGTCTCTATAGCCAGCTTAACTTTTCTGAGCCAATGATACCAAATCAGAATACATATGGGTACTGTCAATCTCACATGGTGCAACTTGGAATTAATTTCTGATGCCTACCAGATATTTAACCCATGAGCAGAGTAAAACTTGGGTGGCCCTGAAGTCTCTAAAGAGCTCCCTCCCTAATTCTCCATTCCCTTTCCTGCTATTTAACTCGAACAGAAAGCCTCAGCATCTGCCTTGAAGCAGAGCGTATCCTTCTGACTTTTCTGAGGCACCTAATTTTATTCTAGGGCTTGGGTCCATGCTTGCATTCCAACCACACTTTTTTATGGTCCTGCCCAGCTTTTGCTAATGCCCTGCTTCCAACCACTTAGTTATTATCTGTTCTCATCCTGCCCTACATGGGGAGGTATCTTCAAATCCAAATGCAGCTGTGCCAGAAAATGCTCTAGAAAACTCCGTGCACACTCCTGAACTTCATCACCATCGCTGCGGGCTCTCACATTTGCTGGGATCCAATGTGAGCTTAAACAATTTCCTCTGTGCACTTTGCCTTCACCTTAGCCAGACACTTGAGCAACCTGGCCGTAGTGAATAAGACTGTGATTCAAGCTCACCACCCCACTATCTTTAGATGATGTTGTTTTAATATGTCCAGCCAAAGCCCAGGTCAAATCACAGTATCTAATCTGGATCCTGTGTATTCTGTCTGCCAAATTTACTTTTCTCTAGATAGTACCTGGCAACCAGCTTATTTCTTCTTTACTCTAAATCGCCCTTTTAAATACACCTCCCTAGATCCCCTTACCACACAACACAATCCAGCTTAACAGAGAACTTAGTTTTTAAAATCTCTGTTTCATTTTTGTTCAATAACTAGTTAGCTAACTCTTAACAAAACACACCTGTATCCACTATGATTTTGGAAGAAGTCTCCCCACCATTTGTTTTGTGGCCTCAAAACTTAAACCTGACCTAAGTATAGTTATGTTTATTGACTACTCACTACTTGCTAGTCACTGTGCTAATAATGCAATACTGGCTTAAATCTCACAATATCCATATTAGGGAAACACAATTCTAACCGTGCTTTCACTGTAAGAGGATTAACTTAGAGAGATTAAGTAATTTTCCTGTGGTCAGCCAAAAGTAAGTGATAAAGTGGAGATTTGAACAGAGTCCTTGCTTTAACCCCAGTTACAATCAGTATTGTATGCCCTGAAAGGAGTGTTCCTTAAGTCCCATTTAAGTATCAGTTTCCTTGGAGATAGTACTTCACTCATTTACCAAAGATTTCTAAGCACCTAGTGCCAATGGCTGTCCTAAGCCCTGGAGACATATCCATTAAAGAGACAGGAGCCATTCAGAACACTCAGTTATAGAGTCAGTTGTTCTGGTATAAGAAGAATCTTCCCCCAAAGTAAGTGTCTAATGCCCTGAGGGAGGTAAGGCTCCTCTACCTCAGGCCTCACAGCACAGCTGGGCACAGCCCATGGAGAATCTATCATGTCAGAACCAGATAGAACAGTTGTGGTCATCTGATTTAATCATCTCGGTTTAGAAATGAAAAAATAAAAATAATCATAACATGCTGAGAATTTAACTTTTTCAAGATTACATAGATTTGTAGTGAAAGACTCACTTCTTAAATACAGTTGCCCCAAATCCCCACCCAGTACTTTCACCAATACATCACACTGTCACCTTGAGAAAGATACAGCACATGTTGAAACCAAAATTTTCCATGGCCATAGGAAAAATTCTCATGACCTTGGATCACTTTATCAGAACAAAACTCCTTCATTTAAGCCATTATCCATGAAGCATTTCTTCTAGAGTTTTTCAAGGTGGTTTCTAACATTTAGGCAATGGGAACTATGTGGGACTTGGACATTTTTCTACTTACTCTAGTGGTGTATGACCTAATACAGTCTCCTGTTAGAAGTGGGAGAAAACTAGAAAACTTACTCCCATTTTTCTTATTGAACCCACTTATTAATAAACATCACCAAAGGTTTCTGTCTTTTCCAGACTCTCTCATTCACACTCATCTAGGCAACATTCTTGGGTTTTCTTTGCCACTGAGAATATTAGGTTAGCATGACTGAGTTCTGTTCACTAGTTGCATTCTCCTCTTATCAGTTTACCACTTTTGCAGTCTATCCTGGCGCTTAAGGATATAATCATCTCCTCACCTCCCCCACCCCACCCCTTGCAGTGTGATGTTAGTTGCTTTGTCTTTTCTTTCCAACACACTAGCTTTGTGCTATATTTAACTCCTGTACATTAGCATTAATATCCAGCCGCACAAGGGAAGTTGCTGCTGTGCATTACTTCCACCAGGTACAGTAGGGGTTTGTTCCGCTAATGCCTTTTGGGGATAGGGAAACAGATGCACATACAATAAGAGGGCTGAAACTTCTCTCCACAGTAAATCCAAGACAAATCTTTATAAGAGATTTATGTACATGATTTTGTTATTTTCTCTTTTGCCTACTTTTGCTTTCCGTTTTGGTGGCACACAAAGCAACTTACAAGGGTGGCTGACAAAGTAAAAGCATATTTCCCTCCAAAGAAACTGCTTTAAACCTGACAAGAAACACAGATGGTCGGCCAGGCATGGTGGCTCACGCCTGTAATCCCAGCACTTTGGGAGGCCAAGGCAGGTGGATCATGAGGTCAGGAGTTCAAGACCAGCCTGGCCAAGATGGTGAAACCCCGTCTCTAATAAAAATACAAAAAATTAGCTGGGCATGGTGGCACGTGCCTGTAATCCCAGCTACTCCAGAGGCTGAGGCAGATAATTGCTTAAACCTGGAGGGGCGGAGGTTGCAGTGAGCCGAGATCACGCCACCACACTCCAGCCTGGGTGACAGAGCAAGACTCTGTCTCAAAAAAAAAAAAAAAAAAAAAAAAGAAAGAAACACAGATGATTACCGATGAACATTATTCTTCTAGGATTCTAAACTGCCTAGAACAAGATTTAGTACATAGTGGATCCTCAAACAGTTGTTTAATGAGTAAAACCAGATGTGATTTCCCCTATTCTGGCTAGTCTTCCTTTGGCTAGATAGGCATTTCACCAATGTCTAGAAGGGAAAGACTGGACCAGAAAAAGGGTGTAGTCATCGCAGGCTTCTCATTTGCTTGTCTAGGTTATTTTTTTTCTTCCTTTTAAACTTTTGGTCTGTGAAATCTTCTCCTCTTTCTCTTTTGCATTCTCTTCCCTTCTTCTCATCTTTCTTCTTATTAATACCAGTTTCTCATTTGCTTTTGTTGTTTACTTAAGCACTCAGACCTGAGTACATTTTTTTTTAGTTGTAATAGATCACTGCCCCATTAGAACAACAACAACAAAAAAAATAGATGTATTCAAGGTTTTATCCAAGTAAGAAACAACATTTTTTGCATTGGCTTAACTTTGTTTTGTAAGAAAAAATAATCATAAAAGCAATATTCATTTGATTCTTAGGTAGTAACATTTATTTAATGAGTATGCTAAATATATGACAGGTTCCAATTTTATTCAATTAAGAAAATGGAGGTGGCTCATGGCAGAAAAGAAAGAGGGAGGAAGAAGAGTAAAACGTATTGGGAGAGTAAAAACACTCATAACTAACAGAAAAAGGTGAAAGAGTGAGAGAAGTAGAAAGTGGTCATGGGACTGAAAAATTCTTGGAAAGCTAATGGCTCAAAAGGAGGGGCATTCTGCATGCACATACTCTCAAATATCTTCCTATAGGGCTTTTGAGAGGAGAGAGGGGCAAACGTGGAGGGTGGTACTCTTCTCTGAGTCACACCCACCAGGAGTGCAAGGACTGTTCTCTTCTTAAAGCCCCGGACCCCATCTGTGAATCCTACTTCCATTCTCTGAGTCGTTCAGTTGCTTCAGAGACGAAACCTATAGGAACCAGAAGAAGTCACAAGAAAGGCGTCCAAAGTCAGAGAATTCTATGCAGAAGCAGTTCTGTCTGGTGTGAATGAAAGCACATTCAATTTAGAGGCCTTTCAGTGTACATGTACAGTGACTCATAGCCCATGCCCATTCTGACTGTTCAGTGCCAATGCTTTGTCTGTTTATAAATATTTTTAGTATGACCAGCTACCTTGGGATAGCTTAACTGAAATAAAAAATAAATTCCTTATTTTAGACTATATATACCTCTAATTTTTAAAAAATATATCAGTTTACGTGAGCTGGAGTCACTCATTCATTTGCTCAACAGATGTGTTGAGAACTTACTAGCAGCCAGCAATGTGCCAAGCAATGGGAAATAAGCTTTGATGTAAAAACTGGTGGCCCAATTTAGGGGTACTTATTGACCATCTTGGAAAATTACATTTTGTTTTATTTTTAATAGGGAGCCAATGAAATTTTAAGCAAGGGAGTAGTATAGCCGGACTTCTGCCCAGAAACATCAATCCGATAGCCAGATGTAAAAACCAGTCGAATTGCTCTTTCAATAGTATAGGCAAAACACAATGATCATTTCACCATACTTGCAATAAAGAGACTTGTTTATACTATAACATGGCAACAACAGGACATGGGGACACTTTCAGTGTTGAGAGTTAAAGAAGTTAAGGGGGCAGGGTTCCTGCATGGGATGCACAAAATGGATGGGATTACTGCAGAAAGAGAGATCTTGTCAGGGGAGAGATGGGAATGATAGGAAAGAGGAGAGGTTAGAGGACTGAGGAGAGAACTTTGAGAAACAGGAACAGTTGAGAGGAAGGCTGAAGAAGGTATGCAACAGAAGAGGCTGAACAGGCATGGTCAGAGGGTTGGAGAGAGAATCTGGACAGTGCAGGGAAGTTTTGAGTAATTCTAAGTGGAGACTAGGAGTGTTGACTTTTTAAGAGACTGAAATAGGAGACAGCATGATATAGTAGGAAGTGGGCAGGATTGGAGTCTGACTAACGGGAAAGTAAAACAGCTGTCATTTACTTGCCTTAGATCTTGGGCAAGTTACTCAACAATTCTCAATTTTGTTTGGTTTTGTTTAATCTACTTAATGGAAATAGTGTCTTGTATATAGGATTGTTCTGAGTATTAAGATTATAGTGTACTGTCTATAACTATGCCTTAAGATCCCTTCACTGCTTCTTTTCCCCATGGTTTTACCCTCACCCAGGCCATTGACTTCTGAGTGCATTTCTAAAAACAAAAATCAGATGAGCCCATAACTGTTACTCATCTCTCATGGTTTGCCTTTACCTACACAATAGGAGACCCAGTGGTTCTTCATGGTCTGATCCCTACTCATTCTTCTAGCCCCACCTCTCATCACTTTGGCATCTCATTCCAGTTACATCATATTCATGGACATCATGCTTTGTCATACCTTCAAATCTTGGAACAAACTGCTTCCTCTTCCTAGATTGTCCTCACCTGACTCCCTGGCTGCATAACTCTTCATCAACCCTTCAAGACTTTAATTCAAGAACCTAGTTCTCCATGTACATATCCTTAGCCCCATACACACTCTGCACTAACCCCAACATCTAAACCCCAAAACCCTTATTCCTTGCTGCCATAATATTTTGTAAATGTCACCAGTCATACTGAAGCAATATTTTAACTGTTTATGTGTTTGAATTATCTCCCACCCAATTGACTAATATATATACAAAAGCAAAATGATTTCTCATTGAATCATCAATAACTTTACATGAATGCATGGATGCATGCTCTTAGTGAAAGGGCATGGGTTTTGCAGGTTAAGTATGCATTGCATTAAAAATTGTAAACCCATGTAAACAAAGAAGAAGTTACAGCAGTCTTTTCTTAAAGTCTTGTAGTTGCCTACTCCAAGGCTAGATTAGATTTGAGGTTCAGCAGATCATTATTGTACTGGTAAGATCTAGGTCTTAAAATAATATTACCCTAAAAGTTTATTCCAAGCCCTGATTACTGACTCAGTATGGAACTGATTTGTAGTTTGAGAAAGAGTCAGCATGGCATAGTAGTTAAGAACATGGAAGCTGGAGTGAAACTACTTTGGTTCAAACCCCTTTTTCTGATCATTACTAACCATGATTCTGGGCTAATTATTTAGCCTCTCCATCGTCTAGCCTCTTAATTTTTAAAATGGTGCTGAAAACCATAGATATACCTCCTAGAGATTTTATGAGAATTAACTGAGTTAATATACATAAGGGGATTATAAGTGTCTGGTACATAATAATGTTTTTACCTCTATGACTTGTGATTCCTTTTGAGGACATTAGTGGCTATAGTTATACATATCCACATAACACTATGCACATGTACACAGTTAACAAGATAAGTACCATATATCAACAGGAAACAGAATTTCATGAAAGCCCCAAGGGATATCTGGATCCTAGGCTGGCCCTGAAATCTACACGTGCTCCCTGTCGTTCTCTTTCTGCTCAGCTTCTTCTCCAGCAAGCAGTCCTTTCACAACAGAGCCCTTCTAAGAAGAATGAAGGCAGGATAGAGCACACTGGGATGAGACTTTGTTTTTAAACAAGGACAGAAAAATGGATTCTAGTAATGCCAATTGAAAAATATTCCTTAAATTATCTACTATGGTTGAGACACTGTTCTAGGTACAATAGGGCCAACCTGTTTTACTGGTTTTGAGCCCTAGAGGAATCTTGTACTATCACAAGAAATAACCTTTCTTTTCTACCATGTGCTTATTTTTTTTCTTCTTCCTTTTTTTTTTTTTCTAAAATAGCATTCTTATCAACGTGTGTAGGGTACTATGGTGATGGCTGCTATATAAATACAAGAAGAGAGAACAAGAGAAAAGGGGGAGGTAATTAACTCAATTGTATAAGACTTTCTTTAAGAAGCAGAATAAAGGTTCTCCATAATTTCATTCCTATTTCCAAAGAGACAGAAAAAGTTGTTACAAGAGATGTCCTTACAATCCCAACTCTCGTGCACATCACTGACTCCAAGACAGGAAGCCCACTCGCTTTTTCCACCTGAATGTGCAAGGCAATCCACTTTTCCTACTGCTTTTTCCCCTCTAAGTAAACAACCTCTTTATAAACGGAAAAATGGAGAGCAAGCCTTTCAAACAGTTGTCATAAATTAGAATAAATTGCATTAATTCAAAATGTAAAACTAGGAGAGCCAGGAGAACATGCAACATATTTTCCCCAAATAACACTGTGAACAAGCACAAGTGTATACTTTGGGCATATGTATATCTTTCCTCTGACTGACAGCCTGAAGGATCGTCTATGTGATTTTTGTGTTGCTGAGGTGAAAACAATCTTTATTTGGATTGAATAGCAGAGTAAACAGGAATGAAAAAGAGACACAAAAGTTTACAGTACAGATGGTTTTCCAATTCTTTTACAAAAATTGTCTGTCTTATCAATTAAAGGTGCATTTACCTTTTGTTCTAGTCAATTGTCATGGGTGCTTTTCAGGATTATACAACCAGAAAAATTATAGTAGATCAGTAATTATGTCCCAAGTTTAATAATGCCACACAGGTTAAATGTAGCAATGAAAGTTTATCTTGCTACCTTTTAACTGTAAAAATAAAATGATTCACCTTCTAGTGTGGCTATGTAAGTCATGAAAGAAACTGAAAACCTTAGTGATCACAAGCCAAGACAAAGAAATAAAATAAGAAAGAATTGTGTGTGTGTGTGTGTGCACATACCAATACATATGGGGGGAATGGGTAAAAGATTTTGATGATTCAAGAAAAATATTAAAAGGTATGCCAAAAGTGGTCTCCGGAGACACACAAGGATTTGATTAAACTATAATTATGCCTACCTGTAAGCGGCATACACCTGTGCACCTAAAAGCCTCCTTCCTATGATTGGAAGAAGGTTTTCCTTCCTACGTAGTCATCTGGCTCTGTCATTTGAATGAACCGCCTTAGGTAGCACAAGGAAGGGATAACATAACAATCTATCTCCTGTCAACAAGGCCCCTTCTCATTCAGGGAAACAAAAGACTACTCTAATAGAATTATCCACAACTTTACTACAGTTAATGTCAAATTCAAAATAAAACAGCATTGCCTAAAAATTTACTGAGTATTTTTTATTTAACATGATTTTGGCTATGAATCATGCTATATCTTTTAGTTTGTGTCAAATACTGCCTTTACCTCCAACATTTTCTGACCGCAGAATCCATGGCAGTTACAAGGTCTAATTTAGAAGCACATGAGGGACCCATGGACAAACATACAGGTCTAACTTCCAGGCTCGTCCTTGATACTACAGGCTCTTCTGCTTGCTTTGAAAAGACCGGTTATGGTTCTCAAGGGTGCTCTAATCTGGAACCATTCCCATGCAACAATCAATGGCATATCATCATTTCTTTCCTTTTCCAAAAGAACAGGATACACAGAAAATAATGCACACGTAGTAGAGAGTTGAAAGCCTAATGCACATAGGAAACGGACCCCTCCAAATCAGCGCATCAGGCCACCAGATATCAGTCTCGGGCAGGCGTTAGTCATCATTTTCTTAAACGAGCCATGCTCTTCTCCCAGGATTTATGCATCTTCTTCCCCCTCTACATAAAGAATTAGCTGAATAAAGTAAAAATAAGAGGACTCTGGGGCTGCAGATGGCTGACCAGCTGTTTCTGGGTGACACCCCATGAATCAGTGCCTCATCGAGCTTTAGTGCTTCCATGTTTTGGGGGCAAAATATTCTGCATTTTGGAAAACTAGTTCATGGAAAATAATACAGCAAACTAACATTTATAGAAAACCACAGTAATCTTGTAACAAATGTCCTAAATTATGTACTCAAAAGCAGATCCAATTTTATACCCAAGGTTCTCGTCTACAGAGCCTGTAGGACACTTTCTTGTTGTTGTTTATAACTGCAGCTCCTCCCAACCCCCAACTCAATTGCTTCTTTTTTTAAATGATATACCACTTTATATAATATACCACACAGAAGACAAAATTTCAGCCTGTAGAAGAGGTTCGGTCTGGGAGCAGCAGGAACATGGAATATTTAAAAGATTTTACTTCCATATCCCCTTTGGATATTTCTCTTATATATTTTCATTTAGTTTGGTGTTAAGATTAATGCTACATTTGAAAGCCTCCTAGTTTCTTTTTGAACAATACTTATTCCTCAGTGCTTAAGTGCAATGCTGGGGGTGTGGACAAAATAAAAGTAGAATGGAACTTTATATTCCAACCTCTCCCACTTTCCTTCAAAGTAGAAGTTTCTGGCAAGGCAAGAGTTTCACTGAAGCCTTTCCTGGTTGTCCTCTTCAATTTTAGATGATTGCTTGATATGAATATCTCTAACAGGGTATATTTTAATACACAGAGTAGCAGAGATGGCTTCAAATGCCTATTATCAGAAAAAAAAAAGGCATTTGTGTGATGGGGAAATAAGAAACCTCTGCAATCACTTTTATTCAATGAAAGCCATTCCTTTGGGTGGGAGAGTCAAATGCTAGTACCCACACATGCTGCCTGCATACCAGCACAAGCCGGAGGAATGCAGATTTCTGTATCTGAGAACAGCTGCTAAGTAAAATGGAACGTCCAACAGATGGCTGCATTGTCATTATTGGGGGAGGAAGAGAGGGGAGCTATTTTGGTTTTTCTGTTGAGTGTGTGTGTGTGTGTGTGTGTGTGTGTGTGTGTGCATGCACCCATGCACGTGTGTGTTTAATAGGATGTGTTCTCTCATACCTGTGTTCTCTACTACCTAGATCTCTCTGGTGCTATCAAAGACTCTTAATCACTTTGATTCTTAGAATTAGAACAGACATTGGGGATCGTTTAGTCATTTGACATTTAATGGAGAAGAAGAGAGAAGACCAAAGACACATAGCATATTGGAGCCAAGACCAGAACTCTTACATTTGGCCTGATTACATAGAAGTCCTACATTCTATTTACTTAAGGATCAGTACTGAGCGCAAATACCAAAGCTCAAGAAAAGGAAACACTACAGCAGTTGCAGTTTCATAGTCTGAAAAGTACGTGTGTGTGTGTGTGTGTGTGTGTGTGTGTGTGTGTGTTCAAGTCTTCTGATGGAGTTGCTTTGCAATTCACATGGAGGAAAGAAGTAAGCTATTTTGTAAGTTAACTTATATCTGGTCTTTATTATACATTTTATTAGATGTTTGGAACATTTTGACTTATGGTCTCCCAAATTAAATAACAAGCTATAGAATATGAAGATTCTCCTCCAGTTTCATACTTCAGAACACAAGGAGTTAAGTTTCAAGTCAAAGCTACTGAAAGCCATTCTTAAGAAGCAGACAGGAAAGTGTTGAGATCCCATCATGACCTGTCTATAAAGGTCTCCATCCCACTTCTGATGGTAGCTTTGGGTCAGTTGTACAGTCACATGGCTCACCCATTGGTTCATGTTTTTTTCCAGAAATAGAATCAATAGAGAACAGACAAACCCACAGTTGCCAGTTTGTACAGTCTTGTGGTTTCTGTCAGGGGCTACAGACTCGAGCAGGTCTACCAGATAATGAAGGCAAACTATTTCAGTTCCTGTGGGTCCAGAGTGCCTTGGCAGAGTTCTGGTTTCAAACAAATGAATAACAAATTAAAAGGTACAGTAAAATAAGGCGGTGGTTAAAATATATGAACTAAAATCAATGTAGGAGAAACGTAGTTAAAAACCCTGCATTCTCAGCAATAGCCTATGATGTATTTTGTTAATCTCTTAAAATTTATGTTAAAAGCCTTTTAACAGAAAGTCAATATATTTGGGTGGTAGAGCAAGTATATCATCCTGTACTGGTGGTTGCATTAAATACTATGCATAGGCTCCACTGTCTGTAGAAAATGAGCAGGGGTCCACCCAACGGAAGTTCCATCTCAAGGAGGTCAGACGCTTTTCCCAAAATGGACTGTGAAGCCAAGCTCAGCATTACACTCTCCTCTGCCTAGGTTCCCCACTGACGTCAACAAGAGTTCTGAAAATGAAGGGGGATCAGAATACCAGAAGCATAGCCTAATAATAGAGCAAAAACGGAGAGCAGATGGAAAATAAAGCTTCTCGAATAAAGTGTGACCTAATGTCATAAATTTGTTGGGGAAAAGAAAACAACAACAACAGCACAGCAAAAAGGTCTGTAAGCAGACTTACTGGTGTGAAAACTCTGGAATATGGCAGACTAGAAAAAACACCTAGCTACTTAGAAACCTTTCAGTAAAGGACTAAAAAGTAAACAAGAAAACATGCAAAATCAAATTTTGGATGAGTTCGAAACACCACTACTAATTGTGTGTAGGGGCAAAAAAGACACAAAAATAGAAGTAGAAAATTCTAGAAACAGGGTTTTAGCAGCTTCCTTTGCACATTATTTATGCATACACTTATTCCTTGTATCTTCAACTCACCTGGAACAATCTGCTGCCCCCACAGATGGGCAAGCTTGGAGTGACTCAGGCACAAACTTGATACATGGTGGTAAAAATGAGTTGAAAGAATGGGCCCAAAGTAAAAGATGTTAAAAAGGGTCCCAGCCACACACTAATCTCCTAGAAGGGCTCACCATTTACTCCTGCACCCTTATACCCTCGTGTGTGTGTGTGTGTGTGTGTGTGTGTGTGTGTGCGCGCGCGCGCATGCTGGCGTGCGCGCCAAAGTCTCAGTACAAACTTCCTGGGAATCTTTACTAACTGTATACATCTCAACAGAAGAGAGATTTTTAGATCTACTTAATAATTGGACTTAGAAACTTACTTTTGATATGGACAAAGAAGGTCTCAAGATGTTGAGTGAAATATAAAGAAAAATCTCAAATTCAATCCCTAAATATTTGTTTTTCTATCTGGCAATCATCAAGATGTTTTTCTATTTGATGAACACTCTGTTTTCTCAAAGAGTGGGCTGTTGGTTGGGAAAGCGGAGGAGGTGAAGTTTTAGAGTAGGGCTGCATTTTCTCTTTATTTTCATTGTTTAACCACTGATGGGATTAAGGCAGGGAAAGCTATCTTTTTTAAAATGATTTTCTTCTTTCGGTTTTTCACTCTAATGGTTCTTGGGCTTTACCTCTATCATCCCATACAAAGAAATATTGTTTCTTCAGGGTAGCCTTTCTAGGTTCTGCCTCCTCAACCTCTTTAATCTGTCTAGCCAGCATTTTTCTTTGAGTCTAATTCTTGCTCTGCCTGATCCTTTGAACTTGATATTTTAGAACCTCCCTCACACCCCGGGGAGCTCGCTCACCTCAAACTTTACCTTCATTTACCCTTTGCTCCTGACCCCGTTACTGAGAGTGAGTCTAGTTCATTCCTTGTCGAGTTTCCATGCCCGAGGCCTCCTGCCAGCACCCACCACCCCCAGGAGAAGTTATTGGGCGCTCATCTCTGCTAGGATGGTCCTCAGTCAGATAGAACACAGGGAACTATTCTAAAATAATGAACTCACAATATCGTGTAAATGCATAAAATTAGCAACATAAATATCACAGAATTTCAGGCTTTGAAGTCTCCTAGAGATCATTCACTTTACCGTGAAGAAAATTAGTACTCAAACCTGGTTGATAATCCATGATTCTTGTGGCAAGAGAGTAATACAATGTATATAAAAATGTTTTATAAACTCTATACACCATACTGTATGCATTTAAAAAATGACTATTCGTCTTCTGAGTAGTTTGTGTGAGTTACTCCTGAGATGCTGCCATTACTCAAAATGTTTTAAATCTCTTCTTTAAAATTGTCATTTGAGGCAGTTCAGATTGTCACTGTATAGTCACATCTCGTTTTTATCAATAAAGGTATTATCCAGGGCTCAGACATTCATCTCAGATTTTATCTTAAATGTCTTTGAAGGCAGAAACCATGTCTGTCTTACTCCTTGCTCCTGGTATACTGCCTGCCACTGATTATACACCTAATAATTATTTGTTCAATGAATTTTTTAATAGAAGATCAAACCAACCCTCAGAGAATGATCATTTGCTTTGATTGGTAGGAAAAGGCTCTAAAATCATTTTTCAAAGAGAATTTCCTAAATAAAATTATTTTCCAGTTGTAACATCATTGTTGGAATAAGTTCAAGGTTATTAATTAGAAGGGGACAACATTCATTGTATTTATATGTTAGTATACTGGCTGACCTGTTTGCACCATCAAATTTATTTGTATTTCACCTTACAAAGTTATGAGGCAGATTGAAACAACTTCGACAAAAAGAAACCCATAATAACAAAAACATTAATAAAAAGCACATTACTATAATCGCGTTAGATATGCACAGCAAAAAGCAGCCCACAGGGTGAGTTCCTTATGTGTGGTTAGCCAAGGAGTGACAGTAAGTAACAAGAAATAGAGAACAAATGAGACTCACCCAGTCTCAAGCATATATCTGCATGCCATCTGGCCCGTTCCTTGTTGAGTAAAAAAGTTACTTACAGCCAGTAAGAATGCAGTCATAAGGAAGCATTCTGGGGTGACTGGAGTGACGACATTCCCAGATTGATAATAAGTACACAGGAAGAGAGGCATTTGCAGGTGTCATGATAACCACATCATCACTGCTGTTGGCACTAACAGGTAAAGTCAGCTCTAAACATTCTGTGTGACATATAAAAGTGAGAACAGTCCTTCTCTAGTGGACTAATATTTTAATTTGTTTGAAGAAGAAAGATGAGCAGATGACCTAGGGGGAAGGCATAGTAATCACAAAACAGAATTGCCCACCTTTTCCACAAGTGAGTTACTCTCAGGCGAGTCTAAGAATAGTGTTTTTACAATAGTTTAAAAATGCACTAAGCGCACACAGATACACACAGAATCTAATTCACACCACAAAAGCATGAGCTTCCTCCCATATTTCAACTACTTCCAGTCTAAAGCATCTTGACCAGGAGAGGATAAGTTTATGTATTTGATGAATCCTGTTGGGCTCAGGGCTTGCATTATTAATTGCTCGGGGAACATGTTTACTTATTATTTTTACTGCTCCCTGAAACATCAGATTAAGAAATTTCAAGCAGGTCCAGCTAAAAGCATAGCAAAATGTGGCACCTCATAAAAATGAAACTTAAGAGTGTTAAAAAGAAGAAGTCGAGAATGCTGGATTTCTCACCAGGCCACCAGCTCACTCATTTGGGGCCACTCAAGTTTTGATGAGATCCACAGCATGGGTATCATCCATGATGTGTGGCATCCACAAGAACAAAAGTCACTTTTATCCCAGAAATAAGAGCTATTTAAATGTCATAGCTAAAAGAAGGAAGTGTTACTTGAATTCTGAAGTGGCTGAATATTTGAACTGAGTTTTTAGCTAAGAAGGTAATGTCAAAGACAAAGGTTCTGTTACCATCCACAGAGAATTTATGATCCAGCATTATTCCCTGAAATTCCATCCCAAGCCCTAACCCCAAGACCAGGTTTCAATACAATCTCCACGGTGCATTGGGAGTAACCTTCTGAACTGAAAACTTGATTGTATAACTATTCAGATTACAATTCTTTTCTTTTCTTTTTTTAAAATTATACTTTAAGATCTGGAATACATGTGCAGAATGTGCAGGCTTGTTACATAAGTATACACGTGCCAAGGTGGTTTGCTGCACCCATCAACCCGTCATCTACCTTAAGTATTTCTCCTAATGCTATCCCTCCCCTAGTCCTCCACCAGGTTACAAAGTCTGACTTTTAAACATAACACACAGTGATTTTTAGAAAACTGGCTCTTGTCTTTTCAACCTTATCTTCTACAGCTCCTCTATGTACATCCTGAGCTCTGGCCGTAACAAGTTGAAGTCTCCAGAATCTAGGGTTCTAGCATGTTCACTTATACAACTGTTACATAACTGTTCTCTCTGAGGAATATGCACTTCCTTCCACTTTTCTGGAAAACTACTATTCATTCAAGACACAGATTCATCTCTTTGAAGTGCTTTCTGCCATCATTCTCACTTTTACCCCAGGACCATGCAGACTCAGGTACTACTATATGCAATTCTATAAAGTATAGAGTGTTTTGAACAACATTAACTTTGCTGTTTTGACTTTGAGGGTATTTTCACCCCAATGGAATGATAACCCTGATATTTAATTCTAAAAGGACAAAGCACAAGAGTATACATTCAACTCACCTATAACTCCAGGGCTATTCTCCGGTCACTCCACAGGAAAACAAGCTGCTTGAATGAAGTGTGGCTTTAATCACTTTATTAGTTTGCTAAGGGAGCCATAACAAAATACAACAGCCTGGATGGCTTCAACAACAGAAATTTATTTTCTCACAGTTCTGGAGGTTAGGCGGCTATGTTCAAGGTTCTAGATGATTCGCTTCCTGGCTTGTAGAAGTCTTTCTTGTCTCCATGGCTTCATATGTCATCATATGGCTTTTTTTTTTTTTTACTATGCGTGTATGGTGGAGAGTGGGGGGAGATACCACTCTCTGATCGTTCCTCTTATAAAGACACTAATCCTGTCAAATCAGAGCCCACCTTTATGACCACATTTAGCCTTAATTTACATCCTTAGAGGTCTCATTTTTAAATACAGCCACACTGGGGGTTAGGCCTTCAACACATGAATTCTGAGGGACAAAACTTTTAGTTCATAACAACTACCTTATGTTCTCAAAATCTAACAAGTCCTTGTAATGACTGTAAACATTTGTGATATTATTAAATGCTATACCACATGAAGGGAGAATGAAGAAAACCGGCTAATCCATTAGTTAATCAAAAGTACTCATTTTGTGTGCACCATGTGCAAATCCCTGTTATAGAACATGTCAGTGTTATTGAGGAATCCATAATAAAATAATTTAATGGGAATTTAAACACAAAAAGTGCCAAATAAGTTGTACTAACAGTTAGCAACTATAGGATAGAACAAAAAGTATTAAATTTGGAGTCAGGAAACATGGGTTCAAAATCCAGCTGCAACACTTACCATCTACGTGACCTTAAGCAAGCTGTTTAACATCTGTAAGCTTCAGCTCTCTCGCCCATAATACAGTTGCAGAATACCTAACTGAGGAATCAAATGAGATAGAATATGTAAATTCACTTTGGAAGTGCTAACACTGCATATATGAAGAGTGTGACCAAGCCCTCATAGGAGACTCCTTTGATAGGATCCTTGATCTCTTCTGTCTTCTCAAATGGAAAAGGCAGCTTTTCTTTGGGGCATTGCCTCCCAATAAGGCAGGCCTTACTGCAATAACCACATTTGTACATACTTAGTTATCATCACCCTCAAAACTTAATATTTTATGCTGGTGCCCCACCAGAAAAAGAAGTGTTCTTGCTTCTTTTTTATATTTGCTGTCTTGCATGGAAGAGAACCAGCATACTTTAATTATGAATCATAAAGAAGTTGTGGTAAAAGTAGAATAAGAAATTCTGTACAAGAAAATGCCATGTGAGTTACTTGAAGCCTCCATGTACTCTTGCCGGAACACTCAAGCATTAAAAATGTTAAGGTTAAGGCTGACATGGCCAAGCGTGATTTAAACATGGAGGCCACCACACAGTGAGCGTTCTTATTAAAGATCCATGAAATATGTCATCATGTGCTATCAGCAAATAGAGAATTGTCTGTCAACGATGAAATATTCTCTTAGGAGTCAGCATCAGGAGAGAAAATTGACCTTGACCAACTGTTAATTATTGCTTCACCTTCCAATCAGTAACTATCAGATCACATTCCTAAATCTTAAATAAGTGTGTGATATTTGCAGAGTTTGTGGCAGCAAATGGAGTCCAGGTGGAGCTGCATAGAAAAACAAGAAAAATGGCTCCTCACCAGAAACAAGAGAGGAGCATGGGAGGACAGATTCAGACACCCCAGGCTCCCAAACCCCCTGTTATGAAGTAGATTGTGTGTGTATGTGTGTGCGCACACCACATAAACACACGTTATTTATTTTTAAACAGTCTTACTTTATACCGAACTGACAATGCTCTTTATTTTCATTATGTGTTGAAGAAAAGAATTAAGGGGTAGAAAGAAAAGAATTGTGAGAGACGTTGCTCTGATTCATTCAAAGCTAGGCTCCAGGATTGGCTTTGTATTTATTTAATATATCAAAAAGCAACAAAACATCACAGCTAAAGAAATAGACACTCAAAACTTAAATTGAAAACGTAATTCTGAAGCATCATGGAATGACAAATATAGCATTTAAAATACATTATCTTCTTTCCGTTCCTTACAAATTCAAAGGTGGCAATGCATATTAAAAAAGATCTGCTTGAGCTACTAGTGAAGTACCACAGTGAAAGCATGCAGGGGCACTCCCAGCTTCAGGAAAAGTAAGTTGCTTGTCCAGTCACTGAGTGGTCAGCACCTGCTTTACAAATCTCTTAAACATCTGGCTCCATGCTCTTCACATAGGAGTTCACACAGGCAGAGACATATTTTTTTTTTCTTCTTAATCATGCACCTTTTAAGATTCATAATTTGGGATGAGCAAAAGGCTCGGCAGGAGGTGGGGATGAATTAAAAACCATAAAATTGATGCTATCACTCTGATTGACATACCAGTAGTGCAGCATACATTTCCTGTTTGTCAGGAATGAAAGGTGTTCACATTCTGTAATAATACCTAATAATGTTTTGGAAAGACAAACTGCTGTCTGACTACATTTTACCAGGATGGATTTTTTTCCTCTTTCTATCAGCACTGAAGTCAGAAGCTAGAGTGTACATTACAACCCTATATAAAGGATGACCTAGATATTTAATAGCTGCAGCTATTCCAGTCCACTACCTGGACCTCCCCAGGTCTCCGATGCTATATTCTAGCATGCCTGAAATCACCATTACACCTTAAGACTAATTCAGGGAAGCATCCAGGGAGCTAGATGTCCAGGAATGCCATAATAAACTTCAAAGAATGAGTATCCTTTGCTCCCTATAGCTGTTTCATCACAGAATTGGCCAACCCTCTACCTCTTAGAGGTCTGTCTGACAATTAACATTTTGTACAGGGTAGTAAAGACAATCTTGTACATAGGGATCAGGAGACCTGACTCCCTCTAGCTGCCATGTCACAGACCATCTAAGCAAGTCAGCCATTTAACCTTCTACACCTCAATGTCGTCACATTTAAAATAGACTCTTCTATTTGCCTTGACTTCTTGAGGGGTTGTTGAAAAATAAAAGCAAAATTACAGCTTTATAACTTGCATGCATCCTATGTCATGTAGATCACAAATATGATTATATATTTGTTAAATAAAGAATTTGGAGAATATTTAAAATCTTCTATTCTGGGGCAATAATTTGGCAAAAGGATGAGGAAGAATCAATGAGGTACTAGATTTTATGTGACAGGGTAACATCAGAAAAAAATCAAATGCAGTTATAGCCATTCAAGAATTATTCTTTTAGCCAAAGATATATCCCTCTTTTAGCCAAAGATATATACATCTTTGGCTAAAGTTTTAGCCAAAGATGTATCCCTCAACTTACTGCCGTGTTATTACTGTTTACATCCCTATGGAGTATCAATTGTAGATACTGACTACTAGCATTTCAAACATTAAAATATTATTTTGGGGAAACAAAGAATAAAGTGAAAAGATTAAATAAATCTGAAAATTTTAGGAGGAAAATAGAATAGGTATGTTTGTATTAAGTGTTTTAATGACACATTTTTGCATTTTCATCTTTTGGATTCTGTTATTCCCACAGAAAATTTCAAGAAAATAAATGCAAGATTAGTGCTACAATCATTGTCTAACAATACCAAGTTTCAAGTGTCAGGCACTACAGCCTGAACAACCCTTTGTCTCTGGAATTATCAACACAGACTTAGATGATTTGGGAAGCCTATGGAAAACTGACCCAAATGAAAAAAGGGGAAATGTTTTGTAGACCCTGCTTTTGTAATAATACTATTGCAAAGGGATCAAAGTGCTTTTGAATACAATTTATTACTGTTGTTTTTTACTAAATCCAATAAAGGTTTAGGCAAAAACAGGTTTCAAGCCTTCTGCTTATGATTGCACTTCGTGAGACTTGACAATGCTTATCTCTGTGTAATTTTTAAAATCCATGTTTGGTAAAAAGAAAAGACATTTCTCCCAATTCTCCAAAGTTACTTCTAATGAAATCTGCTCTTTGATATCCATGCTTACAGATACAGTGCAAGGGAAGTTCAGCAAAGTCACTCCACTACACCCAACTGGTCCTTGCTAAAACTTGCAGAAATTGTAAGGAAACTTACTCAGGATTTGAGGCCATTTAAATCATGGCCTGACTTGATTTTATATTCACTAGAAGTGAAGCTAAAAACAGAATGTATGGATCATGTCCTCATAACCTTCAAGTGGCAACCCATAGACTGCTGTCTGTTTCTTGAGTTAGATTGACAAGAACTGGAAAGAAAGCATTAGCAAAACGGATCTTGAATGCTATCAGCTGAAATCTACCTAAATCCCCCAGCAAAATATAACTGAAAAAAATAAGAGGTTCACCTCTTAGTTCTAGTCATTGAGAACTTGAAGGTTAGGTTAAGCATATCCATCCCTCTATTTGCTAAATTACCCAAATGTGGCTATAAAAAATAACATTAAGTATTCAGGCCAGAGGTATTTATCAGAAGGATATGATTTACATGGCTATGTACCTCATGGAAACCTCACAGAAAAATATAGGTACAAATATGCATAAATCATATTTATATACTTTCTATAAAATTAGACTGGCATTAATTAAATGGCAGAAAAGGCAATGAGAGCATTGTTTGGAGGGTAGCTTGTTCCAAGTTCTGATTATAACTTGCTTCCCAAAGAAGGAGCCGCCTACAGCTTAGAAGACAGATGAGAAGATCATCATCGCAGATTTGCTGTGAACAGCTCTGCTCAGCTCTGTCCCTGCCAGACTCGGGGCCACACACAGCCTTCCAAGATGGCTAAAGAAGATTCTCAGAGAGATCACTCTCTTCTTGCCTCAGATTTGGCAAGGGCAGAGTGTGGTCTTATCTTCGGAAAACTTGAAACCTCTCTGTAGAGCTGGGAACTGCTCTCAATAGCAAAGTTGTCACCATCCTCATCACCACACCTACAATGTACTGAGCACTCACTATGTGCTAGGCACAAAATGCTTTGCATTATCTCATCCTATCTTCACAATTATCCCATGAAGCAAATACTATAATTGCCCACATTTCATGAAAGAAGAAACCGACACCAAAACTTGCCCATTGTTACAGAGATGGTGACAGTTGGCACCTGAATTCAAAACAACCACACTCTTCTAGAATCTTAACTTATAACCATCAGAGTAGCTTAATCAGCTGCAAACAGCCCATGGATTTGACTTTTTAAAACTCCACTTCCACTTATAAAGCTCGTCCCATTTATTTATTAATTATATAATACACAAATACATATATTTATCCCCTACAGAGTGCAAGGAACTGGGTTAAGCACTGGGAAGTAAGCAATGAACAAGACATATTCTCTATCCATGTAAAGCATACATTCTATCATATATTCCACATAACATAGCCTCATTTTTTTTTCTCACTAATCTTATGTTCTTTTCTGCTCCTATTACCTGACAATTTCCAGGATGGCTTTCAGTAGGTGGGCAAAATGTTGGCACTACCACAATTCTGCTGAAGTTAGGAAATAACAACTTGGCCCCTCCCTCCTAATTTCTGCCTCTCTTTTCAATTTCTCAGTCTTCATGTCTATTATCATTCAGGTACCCCCTGTCTTCTGGTTGTCCATAGTCACCCACTACTATATCCCTCTTCCTCACCCATGCCAACCCAGACCTGCCCTCAACTCTACTGTCTCATGTATCTGTACTTTTGTCCTTCATTCCTTCCACATCCAAGCCTCAGGGTTAATCTTAGCTCCCATTCTTCTCCTTAGAGAGCAGCCCTGACATGTTGTGGGAAATGACCACAGAAAAACTCTTACATGTTACACCAGGAAATATCTGTTTCTGATAAGTCACAAATTTTATTTTCTCAGAATTTCTTTAGTGGGTTTTCCCTTAGAATCACTCTCTCATGTGGTAGTTATATTCGATAGAACTTATTGCAGGTACATATGGACTAAATATGTTCCTAGGGGCTGGTGAGTGATGTTAAACAGTGGATAATATGCTTTGAATTCCAACCAACCAAACTACAAGTGACCTTCTGGCAAAGTCATCCTCAGTAACATATTCCTGTCTTCACTATTACTAACAATAAACAGTGAAAAGGAGTAAAAAATAAGTTAAAAATGTATTAGTCTTTAGCATTAGAGTGATAGGAATACATAGTAATAAATGCAATATAGAAAAAGAAATAATTTAAACTTAGGGATGGCAGTGGTGAAAGATGCCCATATTTGACAACTTCTACATTTGACAAAAGACAAATGTTTCTAGCATGAGGGATTCTCAGGTCAGCAGAGAAACCCTGAATGTAAACGACATTCAAGAACCTCCCCTAATTGTTCCATGAGCTTATAAGACTCATGAAGGTAAAGAACACATCTGATTTTTCTTGACATTATAACAGCATCACTTAGCACATGGCCTGAGACCTAGTCAGCACTTAATAAATGATTACTGAATGAAAATACGTCATGCTATACTTATCTCCAGCCACCCCTGAATCAGCAGAGCCCTCTGTTGACCAGAAATCCTTACACAAGACTGGATTTTCACATTTATACTTTTCCCTCAGGGAGCAATCTCTGCCTATATTGCCTTTTTTTTTTCCTTCTAGAACTGTTGAAATGAATCTTTAAGGCCAACTTCAAAAATTGTATCTGTTATGACTCCGCTGGAATGGGACCTGTGAGTGAGATACTGGTGCCTATGGCATCTCAGGGTAAGTAGGTGGATGTCTGTCTCTCCCTTGGGCTGACAGAGTCCTGGGCTTTGTTTAGGGATTGGGAAAGTGTTTCTTGCCTACCCTAGATCCAGGAACTGAGCATGGCCCAGCCCAGAGGTTGTGATCCCTTGGGGGTTATCTTTGCACCAAAAATAGGGACAGCAGCCAGTGGGAAGGGGAGATTGACTTCTGCGCAGTGCCAGGACCCATCCTATTTTGCATTGCAGCCCTAAAAATTATGTAGCTGGTCTTGGACCTAAAGAAGAAACCATTGTGTTGCCCCTTGAGCATACATTTCAATCCCTCTCTTAGTTGTAGAGGAACTCTCTAAAGGCAAAGGGTCCATCACTCATCATATCAGCCTCTGGTTTTGCACAGCACTCTCCTCTCAGGAGACGTTGCATAAAAGTGTGTTGAACCGACTTGATAAAGAGAAACATCATTTTATTTTACCCAAAAACGTAGATAATCCCATATTCAAATTTACCTGGATGGATCAGAAAATGGACTAAATAACACAAATTCTTGTTTGTTTTTCTCTGAGACTATCATTCATCTTATTCAAGAGGAAAATTTTACAAATTGACCACACTGCTCATAAATGCTTTTTTTCATATTAATAGAAAACCTTTGGAATCTAAGCTTGTAAGCTCATTCTGGAATATTGTCTTCTACAAAGAATTGAGTACTGTTCAAATATAATTGTGATTAAATTATTCACTCATCATCTTCCAACTACTTAATATGTGCAAGGTATAATAGTGGGTACTGTTAAGAGCTGATCTCTCCGTTTAGTCTTCAACTTGGCCCAGACCCAAACCACTGCAGACAGTTGCCCACCTGAAGGGGGAAATGGGAGCTGAAGTCCAGCGTTCACTCTGTTTGCCAAGCCATATACTCTGGCATGAGGTTGGCTGTGTCCACCCAGGGGAAGTGGTACTTTTTTTTCTAATTCTAACAAAGTCCCTTATGGGCTAAAGGCTGTCTTGGCCCTGCTCCTCCTTCCACACACACCTCCTAAACTGCACTTGGCCCATCTGTGATTTCTTTTCCCTTTCCAGAGTCACTGCTGTTCTGTTGAACATCCTTTCTGTTGCATGAAAATGCCAAAGTAGAGGAAAAAGAGCGCACCATGTGATTTCCCCAGGGCCAACATTTCCCCAGGGATGGTTCTGACTGAGGGGACACAAAAACAAGCAGTTTAACACCAACAGATATCCTGTCCAAATTCTCTTTTTATAGCACAATGTAGCTGTATTAAATACATAACAAGTAAAGTGAGAATTGAATGTGAATTATGAAGCAGAATTATAGTCATGATATGTGAGCTAAACATGAAAAGAATCAGAACTTCTTATTATATTTTATTGGCAACAGTTTTGCCAAATAGGTAGTTACTCTTGAAAGATGGCATCTCCTTGAAATTAACTCTCAACTTCTAGCAAACATTTAGATGTCCCCACACTCCTTAGTCAACTAAGAGTGATTATTTTTTATTGCTACAAGCCATATATGTTTGTTTTGGAGAACATGACATTAATCATGATTAAATTGTGTAGGCTGAAAAATACCTATTACCTGCAAGAAAAAACAAAATGCAACACAGCTGTAAAAATATTTGCCAATCTGTAAAAATTTGTGTGGATTTTCCAGCAAACTAGCAATGAAAATTCTGAAATTTATATCTAGTCTTATGAGAATCTTCAAAGGTTTCTCTAAAAGTGAAGAAGAGGTCAATTGGTTTACTATTTCAAATAGATATTGCCTTACCAGCATACAAATCATACCGACATTGTCTATTTGAGCTGCTTAATTGTGACAACTCTGAGGCATTACTGGGTAAAGCAAATCATTCTGCTCCTATTACCTCTCTGATCTGCCCTCAAATGGGATTATACCTATGTTTCCAAGGCAGAGAAAGCACCTCGGGTGAATCCTATCAGCCCCTGCTATGGACTGAATTGTTCCCCCCTCATCCCACATTCATATGTTGAAGCCCTAACTCGCCATGTGACTATATTTGGAGACAGGGCCTTTAAGGAGATGATTAAGGTTGAATAAGGTCATACAAGTAGGTCCCTGATCCCACAGGACTGGTGCCCTTATGAGAAGATAAAGAGACACCACAGCCTGCTGTCTGCCATGTGAGAACACAGTGAGAAGGTGGCCATTTGCAAGCCAGGAAAAGATCCCTCACCAGAACCTGACCAGGCTGGCACCCTGACCTCAGACTTCTATTCTCCAGAACTGTGAGAAAATAAATTTCCATCATTTAAACCACCCAGCCTACAGTATTTTGTTATGGCAGCCAAAGAATACAGGCCCTTAAGCAAACTAACTAAAATAGTATCTATTATTAACATTTTGGTAAATATGTATAAAGAAGTAAGAAATGTTTTATAAGAATTTTTTAATTTTTATAATTTTATGACTGTGAATAAAAGCATCTTTAAAAATTAACTCATTTTTATTGATCTGTAATAAACATTCTAAGAAAACTGGTGTTCATGCTATGCAACCCTAACTTCAAAAGACTTACTCTTGCCTCCTGCCAATAAGATTATTCCTCTGAAATTTCTCCTAATAACAGAAAATCCCAGAACTACCACTCTTCAAGTTCCAACATAAATGCTGCTGCTTCTCTTAAACTTTTCATATTCCCTGCTCTAGTCTCCCTCTTCTGCACTACCACAGTACTTAATTTAAATATGTCATTTATCATATTTCACCTTGTAATCTCCTTGACTTTTGCATATGCCTGCTCCTCCGCTAGAGGACACAGATCTTGAGAGCAAGGGTCATGTTATCCATTTTAGATTTCTCTAATGTCCACTGTGATGTTTTGTCAGTAGTGAGTATATATTGGCAGATGTGTGAAAGAATGAATGAATTGTTGAATGAATGGATGGATAAATGAAGAAACTGATTATTTATTTATTTATTTATTTATTTACCATTTTGTCTCATGTATCTTCCATAGCATCTGGGAGAATTGCCTTTCCACCATCATGCTTCCCCTTGATGGCGCATTTATGAAAGAAAAGTGTTAATAAAAAGAAAAATGGAGAAACCTTTAGTTGCAATGCCTCTGATTTTTTAGGCACAGTACTAGTATAAATTATTTAATTCTTACTACTTTGCATTTCACGTTCCCCATTTTACTGACAAGAAAACTGAGGCTCTGTGAGGTTAAAAATACATCCATACCCATGCAGTTGCCAAAAAAAGAAAAGCTACAATGTAAGCATGATGCTAAAATCCAAGCCATATCTTGTCTTTCCTTCTCAATGGCCTTCTCTTAACTTTTTCCTCAGCCTTCTGAAGAAAGGTGAAAAGGATGTGTAGATATTTTCTGAGGCCATTTAACATGACCCTCTTCCTGCATCGGACTTGGAGGAGGAGGTGTTCTCTATTTCCCCATGATTTTCACTTCCTTGCCACTGCAAGAAAATATCAATCTCAGTTTCCTCTGTAACCTCAGGAGAGGTACCCTGAGCTCCCCTTAATTATAGTACGAACTGAACCAAACCTTTGATGCCTCTGAAGGTCTCATATCTCAGAGGGCTCCAGGGGTGCAAACGAGTCAACTTCCTCCCAATCTAATGTTCCTGATGCCGCTCCCTGAAGTATAAAATTTGAAGACAGAACAATAACTTGAGATTCAGGCAAATTTTAATTATATTTCAGGTCTGCCACTTATTAACTATGTATACTTTAATCTGTCTCAGTTTCCACATTAAATAATGTTTATGAATTCAGATATATCTGAATATATAGAAAAGGCTGGGAAGACAGATCCACTGAGGGTTAATTTACATTGGGTATGGAAAATCTCCTTCGTGAATATGGCAGAGGCTGGCTAAATATTCACCAATCACACTTTTTCTTCCTGAGCACTTAGGAAAACTACATTTCCCAGCATCCTTTGCAGTTAAGGTTAGGCCCTGTCTTGGGAGTAATGTTCACCACATCCAGTCATGGCCACAAAATGTGTCATGTGATCTTCCTCATTCTTTGTTAGCCAGCCAGCTAAATACAGATGATACAGCAGAAAACTCTGCAGAGGCCCTAGAAAATAATTCCACTACAAGATGGAAGAATTGGGATTCCAGAATCACGGAATGGAAAGCTGCCAGAAGAAAAACCTGTAGTGGGTGAAGTCACTAAGATTTTAAGGTTGTTTTGTTATAGCGCCTGGCACTAATTACCCTGACTAATATAATTTCTCAGGAGTCAGAGAATCTAAGTCTAGGGTAAAAATGATGGGTGGTCCAAAGCCAAAAACTATGATTTGTTCTTCCGCAACTAATGAGCATTGCTCAGAGTATTTTCTGGACTGCTTTCTTCCCTTCCCCATCACCACTCTCCCACACCCGGCTGGTACTAATGCCACAACTAGCAGAGGCCAACCTATCCTAAAGACCCTTCTCATTAGTCTCCACAGCACGCTCACAATACAAAGCAGTACTGCTTTGTGGTCTGCATAACAGAAGAGAAGGTGGAGAATATTTCCCCACTTTAACAAGAAATGGTTGGAGAGCAGAACAGAGGAGCAGTAACATGTCAGAAGCAAAGACTGTCAGACTAGTTACCTAGGATGCAGGCAGCCCAGTCAGATGTGAGGAGACCAGAGCAAACTAAAATCTCTAGAGGGTTCAGCCTTCCCAGACACCCCCACAGTTAGTTGGGCAGAATTACGCTAAAAGAGGTCAGGTTTTAGTACCCATTTTCTTCCCTTCCGTATTTCCCTTTTATGTTGAACTTCCCTCATTAAAAGAATCCTGACTTTTCAACTAATGCTTTTGAGTAGCACAATGATATTGCACCTCCCTATAAAGGAGAATACTGGAATTACACGTTGAGTGAGGGACATGCTGAGAGTTGCTGTCCATCCTCCAGTGAACTGTGTGATAATCCTGTTAACCTTCCTATCAGGAGGTCATTAAACAATTTTGAAAGCTGTTTCCTCTCACATCATAACTGCATGCAAAATTTGATCTAGTCTTTTTAATATAAGCTGTTTGACTGCACAGACTTAAATAACAGCCCTTCACCTGTTTTATATGATCTCTTCTTATACTCTCCTCAGTTCAGTTACTGAGTGCCTTTGTAGCCCTTCTCTCAGTTTAGGTATTGTCATCTGTTTTGTCTTTGTTCTCGATTTCAACATTTAATGCATTTTCTTTCAACAGTATAGCATGCCTTCTCTAGTTCCTTTTGATACCTTGTTCATCACTTGTGCCAACCCATTTTTCACTCATGTCACCATGTCACTTTCCTGTGTGTTAGTCTGTTTGAATTTGTTGTAATTGGTGTTTTGTTCTTATTGCTGCTGAGCTATTTCATGAAACTGCCTATTTCTGTTAAACCCAATTTATTTTTGCATTTCACTCAATCTTTTTTTTATTCCAAATACACTTTACCACGCAGTATTTTTCCTTTCTTCCTCCTTTCCCTCCTTCTTTCCTCCCTCTCTTCCTTCTTTCCTTTCTTCCTTTCCTTCCTTCCTTTCTTCCTTTTCTTTTTCTTAAATAAATATGCTAACAGCTAAGTGATGTCAGAACTCCTGCCTGAATACATTTACAACAAACACGTTTTCCATTTTTATCTTCTGATCATTTAGTTCTTTCATTCAGCTTGAAAACTCGATTTCCTTTCAGCTCCCTAGAAACATAATTTTTACCTCCAGGACAGAGAGAACTTACATTTTTAACCACACTTGAAAAATTGGGTAAAATTGAAATGTACTTCTGGTGGCTTAACTAACACAAAATGGATTCCTAATCTCTGGGGGAAGACTCCATAATAAGACCCTATCATTGAATTAGGAATTCAAGCATTAAGAAAGTCAGTTTTCAGGAGTGTCAGGTTTGGGACTTGACATTTTTAAGAAATGTCTTTGCAAAACAGGGGACTAGTTATCATTGGATGAAGGACACTGATTTAATCTCCAGGGGTGGCTGAACTCGATGTCTGGGGTTCTTCCAAACATTTAAAGTCATTTTCCAAATGTTTTTGATGCAGCACAACCCAAAAAGGATTTTGGCAAGTGTGTTTTCCCTTCATTTTAAAACCCATGCGTATTTCAAGGGAAATGCAATCCATATGTCTTTGATTCATTTACACTTAAATCATCTAAATGCCATTGTGTAAGAGCTATTTGATGTACAAGAAGCCTGTGAGCCTGTTTTATAAGCCTTTTTAAGCCTTATTTCTTTGAATCAGAAAGTCATGTTTTGCCGGCCCTAAACAGAACTTGAACTGGGAAAGGCTCAAGTTCACTTCTAAACTGAAAACCCGCAAAGTTTTGCGTGGCTTCTGTACTTAGCAATATGTTTCCCCTTGCCTAAAGCTCACAAACACCCAGCATTTCTCTTCTCTGTCTCACATGTAGTGAGAACAGGGTAAATCAATTTTTGAATCACATTTTACTTGTAAAATTCACATTTTGAACCTCAGTTATCTCCCAGGCACTGCCAGAAGTTAAAATAGCAACACTTGAAAATTAGGCTTTTGCTCTAAAAGGGCAAAACAGTCTATAAAGTACATAAATTACTGCTTCTGTACATTTATTTGTTTGACAGGTTTAAGATATAAGTGTGGCTTACATATGGATTTTCAGGATGCCAGATTGGATGCTCCACGAGCTACAGTCACAAATGTAACCTCTTTTTTTAAGACTTATGTTTGGGAGAATAGAATTGGAACAATCTTGCTGTTCTGCACAAATCTAATTGCTGTGTCAAAACAGCAGTGGAATATGATGAACATTTGCATTTTTCTCATTTACTGGCCTTTTCTTTGGCTTTAACCACACTTACAATAGTGGTCAAGGAGAAAGTATCTTAGGCTATTTGCTCTCTTTCTCCCTGAGACTTAAAAGTATTTCAATGAATTATGAACTAATACTTTTGAGAGGCAAAATGTGAACCTTCGATCAAGTGTTTGGACATACCCAAATGATTAACACTGATTTATATGGACATAGAAACATGTCTCGAGAATGGCTAAATCTTTCTCAAGCAAAAGCACTAATTATCTTTAAATGTGTGATTTCTTTGTTTTTATTTAGACACATCTTAGAAGTTGCATTTTATTGAGAAGGAAGAAATGGTGATGGTGTGATTGTCTGCAGAGAGGCAGTATTTTAAATTTGCATTTAAAACTTAGGGGGTGGAGATGAAGTTAAAAAGAAACAAAGAAATCCAGGTGAATTTAATTATTCCTTATGTGCTCTCTCCAGTTCACATATATGATAGACTATCATATTTGTGTAATCAAAAAGACTATGAAATTCAAGTTTGGAAAAAAAAGGATTTAGGCACTAAATCTAGAAAAATGTTAATTATGCTGAGATAATTAGATAGCAGAAAGTGTTGGATTTGTTCCTTCCCATGGTTAGTTTTCATTAACTACCAAGTCTTCATGATTCTCTGCAGGCAGAATTATTAGTATTCTATTCTTAGGAAGAATGGTGCATGACTGACAAAGAATTAACTTTCAAAAAGTGTGACAGAATACTTTACATTGACCCATGCATATATTTTCTTTAAAAAATGCTTTTTCTCCTATTAAAATTTTGATCTAAAACAGTTTTAAATTTTAAATTAAATTCTCAAAATACATCAGTTTAGGAAAGTTCACAACCACATTTTCTCAATTTAATTTAAAATACAAAGCAAAGAGCTTGATTTATGATTTTGCTGCTGTTTTACCAAAGTGAACCAGAGGGTATTGATTAGGATCGTACAATAACTTAATAACTCCAATTTTGGTTAAAACGACTAGTGTTATATTATATAATTTTATGCCAAGATTTATGAGATTTAATTTAAATTCGGGTGGCCCTTTAAAAACTTTAAAAAATGAAGCTGGGAAATACTTCCTGACCCTGCACTGCTGCTCTCCATCTTGTTCCTTCTTGCCATAGCTTAATTCACCTCCACCTGGTAAACACAAAAGCTTTGTCTGCTCATCTGTCATCTCAAAATGACTTGTTGACTATCTTGAGAATACATATGATTTAAAGCCTATTTGCCCCACCTATTGGGTCAGATTGTCTCGCTGTCCTCTATTTGCAATAGAAGTTTCAAACTCAAAAGAAACACAGCCAATACAGATTGTAAAATAACTGGAACCCTTGCAGTATAAGAGGACATTAATCAGGCTGTGAGTCTCATGAGAGTGAATTCCAGCCCTGAGAATTCTAGCTCTTCCTTCTTATCTTAAATGCATCTGAAAATATCTTTATAATGCCCCCTTGACACACATATTTACCCACCACAAATGCACACTCACTCACACATTTTCATGAACACAATACAAACACACCTACAGGTACACATACATGCAAACATATACACAAACTTCAACCTAAATTCCTTAGAAAAACCTAATTTTATAGATTCTATTTCTAAATACAATTCTGAGTCCCAGACATACTCAACTACACATGTTGAAAGTTTGGAGGAGAAGGAAATCCTTTCAAAGAGAACCACAATAGTTAAACAAACATTTGTACAAAGGGTCAAATTGGTTATTTGATCTAAATCCATATATGAATGCACTTTTCCTATCACTGCATTAGCACTTGATTTCCATGTATTATTTTAAAACTTTCATATGTGACTTGATTTGAACAACTACAATACATAAGTTCTGTTTTACAAAAGGATACCCTTTAGGACTCCCCAAATTATACAGTTTTCTCTAGGGCATATACAAGTCTAAACAGATTGTTCGTAAAATGTAATATATTGAAACACATAAATTTACTTGAAAAAATTAGAAACATATCAATTTAGCTAAAGGATATAGTGTTAATTGCAATCTTTTCCCCCATGATTATCTTTCATTTCTCTAAGAAGAGTTAACATATCCTTGTTTTTGTCATTATATTTCCTTAGTTATATTAATTTGGTACTCATAGTCTATTACATCTAGTAAAGAAGAAGGCCCTGTAGATTTCTACTTATGTTTTACAACTAATGGTCTCAGCTGGTTCTAGCATCAGGATAACTGGGCCCTAAAGTTTGGATGTTTAAGGTCAATTACATTCATGCCACCCAAGCTTATAATTGACTACCATCACCCAGGTAAAAATTTATGGAATATGTAAAGTAGGGAAGTTCTAAATGGCTAAACATAGTCTTCTTTGAGCTATATTTAAATCACTTAGGTGTGTAGGAATTTGAATTTCGTGCTAGCAGTCTTTGGGCTAGTGGTCCTCTCCAGCTGTAAATAAGGGAACAGTATGAGATACGCAGAACCCATCTTTGGCCGCTTATGTAACATCTACCCTGTTCTCTTGTCTCCTTCTTGATCCTCTCCTTTTTGAACTAATCTCAGGACATAAACATTACATCCTTAGTCCTCTTTACAGAACAATGTCCCCTCCAATTGCTCGCTCCAATTCAAATTTGGCTTTTCCCCAAAGGCAGAACTTTCTTTGCAGCATTTTTTTAGTAAAGGTCTTTCATTCTTTTACACTTCAGTACCGTGCAAATGGGAGCATGATAAACTGCCCCCACTTCACCCCCTCCTCATTTTGACCTTCTGTTCAAGGGATTTCAGGTTTCTCCTAAGGGACCATTTTATGCTTACACTATAATACAAAAATAAAAATAAAAAAATCCTTCTACACCAAAGTCAATTTACTTGTTCACAAAACATACCTTCCTTGTTTATGTCATCTTCATGTGGCTTCCAGGTTATAGCCTCCATATTCATCACGGAGGTTACCCAAATTACAGGCTTCTTCTGCCTGAATGCCTCTTTATTATCCTGAACAATTTCAATGTCCATATGAAAGAACTCCTCACCATCCTTTCATAGCTGTCAACCATCCCTTCAATTCTAGAGGGCTCACCTTCACTCTTCCGCCTTAACCCTTGTTCATGTCTCCTCCTAGACCTTCTCAGGAACCAAAACTCCTCCCTACTTTGGAAATCAGAAATTCTGCTCTCCTGCTCTCTGATCACACCTTACCTTTCTGCTTCCCTTCTGGAACCACTTTCTTTATACATGCCATTCCATGTTGTAGAGCAAGCTTGTCCAACCCGTGGGCCACATGTGGCCCAGGATGGCTTTGAATGTGGCCCAGCATAAATTCATAAACTTTCTTAAAACATAATGAGATGTTTTTGTGACTGCTTTTTTTTTTAGTTCACCAACTATCATTTGTGATAGTGTATTTTATGTGTGACCCAAGACAATTCTTCCAATGTGGCCTAGGGAAGCCAAAAGATTGGACACCCCTCTTATAAAATCTTTAGAACCCCTCCTGAGTCCACCCTATTCCTTAATTGCTTTATTTTCTTCCTTATGGAAGCTCACAACCACCCTTGACTCCTTCGCAACTACATCATTTTGTCACATATTTTTAGCCCTGGATTAATCATGCAAATTGTCCATCCCTGTACTCACCTCTGAGTTTGGTTGACAATAGTAATACAAACTTATAGACTGGGACTACTAAATTTTTATACCCTCTAACTTCAGCTTGCCTCTTTCAATTGCTCATAAAGGTTTACTTGTCCTCTGTCAGTTCCCACTCTCGTTTCCCTTATAATTCAAAACATGTGTCATGCCACTCAAAACCCCTAGCCAACTCCTATGCTTTTATTCTTTGCAGTGAATGTCAACTCCTCCTTCTCAAGAGAGAAAATTGAGGTTCCCAATTTAACTAATTCAACCTCAAAACCAACTTTTTCTTCTGTACTTTCTTCATCTGTGATCTTTAGCCATTCAATTGTGCAAGTCAGAAAACAAAATAACATTCTTAATTTCTTATTCTCCTTTGCCTACTACAAGCAGGCTGTTACCGCATATTTTCTATTTATTCTCCCAAATGTCTATTTTCTTCTTCTGAACCCCCTTCCATCATGTTACTTTGAAATCTAATTATCTCATCCTTGGGAATGTCTTATAATAGTTCCCCTGTCTTCAAGTTTACTTTGCATACTTTATCAATAGTATAATTTCTAAAAAGTAAATCTGGCCCTGCCACTTCACTTATTGAATTTCGTTAGAGGTTCCCCATAGCATGGCAAATGAGCCATTCAGAATCAGCTTCCTGCATCTCTCCCAACTTCTTTTCCCACAGTTTTTACAATTTAAGCTCCAGTAATAGAAATCTGCTCATAGATTCCTGTGCTCAACGTATCATTGCCACCTTTGGATAAGGACAATTTTCTCCCTTCTTGCTTTTCTTGGCAAACTTCTATTCATTTTTCAGACTTTTTTTTCAATCATTTCCTCTGTTAAAACTTCCCTGAGCTCTTTCCTCAGAAATAATTAATTAATCCATCCAAAACACTATTAAAGTGCTAGAGCAAACTTGGGAAATCAAGGAAGGCTTTCCAGAGGATAGAACACCTAATCTGAGATTTAAAGCTTGAGCAACCATTGGCCAGGTGTATAGTTGGGAAAACAGTAATTTCAAGTCAAGTTACTGCAGGGAGGTTGTATGTTATTACTCCTTCTGGACTGTAACATTCCCCCAAGACAGGGTCTGTGTCTATTCCAATATTGTATCTTATCACAGTATCATATACAGATAAATCAAAGATCCAATAAATCTTTGATAAAGAAAGGAGAAAGGAAGGAAGAAGGACAGAAGGACAGGATTTCACTACTTTAATTTTATCTTGTCACTTGTGTTTTACCCTTATGGACATTCCTTAAAGTATTTCACACAGGAAAGAGCCCTTAGACTGTCTATCTTATTGCTACCAAAGGGCAATGGTCAAATAAACCATTTATCGAAAAGGAAGACTGAAAAGAGTTATAATAGCACTGCCAGCAATTTCAGAGTGAGAAGAGTGAGAATAAGGCAGATTCATAATTAATTTACTCTATATTTATACCATAGTAGCTAGGAGCTGCTAACTATATGTATATATACATAAGATATATAAATATACATATATCATACATGTAGATATACAATGATTATATGTGTGTGTATATGTGTGTATGCATACATATACACATATATATAGTATCCAACCTTATATATAATGAGGAATAAACATCTCCCCTATAAATAGGTAATAGAAGAAGTCAGTCTTTCAAAAGAAATGAATCTCTAAGTCATCAGAATACACTCTGATTCAATTTATGGGAATTATGTATTCACTGAAAAAATTATGTCGTCAAGGGTTTTATTGACCCTTGACTACATAAGGTTTTTTGTATAAAATCAAGTATCCAGACTTCTAGGAAATAATGCATAACCACAGGATAACAATGATTATCTCAAAAATAAAGGACTATGAGAAATTAGAGGAGAGGGAGAATATGTCTGTCTGGGATGATTAGGAAATAATTCACTGAAGATGTGATAGCTGTGCTGGGAATTAAGAGTAAGCAGGATCTGAACAAGAATAGAAGAGAATGAAGAATATTTTTAGTTTCATGAGCATTGGTCTACAGAAGAAAAATGATAAAAATAAATATTGGGAACTGTGTCGGTCTTCAATGCTGTTCATCAATATCTGTTTTTCTTCTCCTGTTCCACATGTTCGGTTGCACTTTCTAGTTTCACTAACAATGAGTTAGGGCTATGTGACTAATTCTGGCCAGGGAGTTGTGAATTGAAGTGATGTTTATCACTTCTGTTCCATAATATTTAATTGCTAGTGCAAAACCCTCTAAAGTTATTTCCTACGTGATAGAGAGCAGCAACATTCAAGATGGTGGCTGTTCCCTTAGCCTGGGTCTTTGAGTGACTGCAGTGAACAGAGAACATTCTGGCTGGACTGAAATGACTACATCAATTGTGTAAGAAATAAACTTGTGTTATTTTGAGACACAACTTTTGGAGCAGCTTGTTACCACAATTTAACCTAGACTATACAAGCAAATAACAGAAAGAGCAAGATGTCCAATTTGACAGGCATATGAGGAATATTAAATAGAGAAATAATAAGTTTGAAGGGGTAAACAAATCAATTTGCAGAGAAGCAGAATTTCAGCTTAAAGGGTTTGGACTTTATTTTATAGGCAATGGAGAGCTGTTAAAAGCTTTCAAACAGGGAAATATGATGAACAGAATTGTGCTTTAGGAAAATTAATCAAGCAGGATAGAGGATGCCTAGGAAGCGGAAAGACACTTAGTAATATGAAAACAAGTTATACTATTGTGAAAAGCCTAGAAGTCATGGAGTTTAAACTAGGGTAGTGGCAGTGGGAACCAATTTGACAGAATGAATAGAACAGTAATTTGCAGGTCCTGGCAACTGATGAGACCCAAGGGACTTATAAATCATTCCAAGCTTTTGATCCTGGATGATTGCTAAGATGGTGCCACTGCCACTTACTTAAATAGGAAGCAGAGAAAGAGGAACAAATTTAAGAGGAAAAGTGCATACTTAGGTCAAGTGTGACATCCAACTAGCAATGTCTGGCAGACAACTGGAAACAAATCAAATATGGATTGGAGAGTTATTTGCAATATGAAGCCATGATATGAATGAGACTGTCAAGGAAGAAAGAAGAAAATTAAGAATATAACTTTGGGAAACACCTGCATTTACACAACAAAAAGGAGAAGAACAAAGATATCAAGAAAGGTGTACTTTCACAAAACCGAAAATCAAGAAAGCAGGAAATTTCAAGAAAATGAGGGTAATTAACAGCACCAAATGTAAGGATGGATTAAAAATGATGAGTATTTTTTAAAATCTAGTAGATGTGGTGACTTTTAATGGAGCAGTTTCAAGTGATAACTGCAGGAGGAAGCCAACATTCAAAAGATTGGGAAGTGAGTCATGCAAAAAAAAATTGAGGCTGTGGTTTCTTTATATGGTGGAAAATTACTTAGCAATTAAAATAAATGGACTAAATTATTACATAAGAAAACGTTCATTTCAAAAATACATTCAGTAAAAAAAGAAAATGGCAAAATTATACATACAATGTGATTCTACTTATTAAACATACAAATAATATACGCATATATTATTTATGAATACATGCATGTTATATGTGTATCTATATACATCATAAATACTAACACATGCATTGAGATAACTGTGAAAGTAAAATGTAACCTCTCCTTTAAAGATGTTAAATGGTGAAAGAAAAGAAAGAAATAGGTAGTACCTTGATAGATAAGGAGATAAGAAATACAACAAATGTTCACTAAATTTCCATATTAGATAGAGTCTTTTTGGCTTTTAATTTTTCAATATAAATTTATAGACAATGAAATAACTGCAATGAAGCAATCGTGTTTAATTTATATCCAGTTCTGAAGAAAGAAATATTTTCCTATTAGTAACATTTTATGATATGGCGTGTCACAGATAGATTTCTGACTTTGGAGCTATGTAAATGAAATCTGTGACTTTGAGGAAATTATGACCACAGCTTCAGCTTCTTATCTGTAGAGGAGAAGATAATAACTTCCACCTCAAATATTTTTTATAAAGACCAGGAATAACATAAGTTTCTAAGTGTGGTGTTTGTCACATAGAAAGCACTCAATAAATGGTAGTTGTTATTTTCACTTTCCTTACAAATGATGAAGAAGAAAAAAACCATGATGCTGTCCCTCCTGCATACTAGACAGTGATCTAGAGAGGAAGTGCAATACTGTGGTCAAATACAAGGAATTGGAAGCCAAACTTTCAGGATTCAAATCATGGCTAAGTTTCAAATCAACAAATTACTTGGGGGATCTTAAGAAAACTAACTTAGCCTTGTTGTGCCTCCATTTATTCATCTGTAAAATGCAGACGATGAAGAGGATGGTGATGATGGTGATGATGGTAATGATGGTGATAATGGATATGACTGTGATGACAGGATGCTCCTCAGGATTGTTGTGAAATTTGAGTTCATAAACATAAACTACTATTAACAGGGTTAGCACATATTAAGGAAGGTATAAGTATGTTAGCTATTGTCAGTAATATCCTTTTAATTTTTTTATTGTAGAGTTTTAAAAATGTTTTTCCTTTGATGGGCAGAGCAGTAAATAATTTGAACAGATACTGCTGGGCTCCATGTTTCTTATGACCAGCCACAGATTTATACCTGACTCCCTGCACCTAAGGATAGACTCTGTTATCATGCCATTGTTCAAATTATGCTTGCCCAAGTAGAGAATTATCCCATAGTCATCTCCATTAGCACGAAAATCAAATAAAAATGATACTTAAATCCTCTCATTTATTGGGCAATTAATTTAAACTATTAAGTACTTACTATATGTGCCAAACACTGTTCAAGGCCTTTGGGATATGGCAATGAGCACAACTGACAATACCCTTACTCTTGTGGAGCTTACATTTTGGATGCACTGTTAAATCAGCAAAGAATATTCTAAATTATGGTTTAAATAAACATTAGAGACTGTGTTCCCAATATGACTTAGATATAAAACAAATAAAATCAATCTACATTGTTTTGAAACTAAGTACATTTTCTTGAGCTATGTTGGCTATAAGCTCTTTCTGATTCTGAGATGTAATGACCTCACTAAGCCCACTATTAGAGGGCAGTGATATGGTCACCCACTGTTTATGAGCTATCTAATATTTTTTAATATTTCCCAGGTGCTTGGCATTCTGTTAACTGTTTCACATACATTTGTGTAATTCTCATAATAACCCTACAAGCTAAGTTCTATTATGATCCCCGTTGTATGCATGAGTAAACAGTGGCTAAAGTCATCCACGAGTAGCCTAGACTAGATCTAAACACGGAGGTGTTTCCAACCATGGTGCCCCCTCAGCAGCATTTAAAGAATGGCCACCAAACTCCATGTGCTCCTACAGCCATAATGCTACCCTCTACCATCTATGAATTTCATGGCTATCTTGGATTAAGTTAGGCTTTCAGTGTTCCATGGCTCTTAGTTAGATCAAGCATTCTCCTGGCCCTTACCTGATCCTCAGCTGAATTTAGGAGAAGCCCCTATACTGGTGTATTATTAAGCCCATGTTCTTAATACACACCAGAACTATTGGTCCCCTGTTCCTACCTCCATAGTTACCACCACATTATTGCCATTCTCACCACTACAAAAATTCTAAAAGATGAATCCCAAAAAAGAAACCTATAGTTATAATTGATACTCACCTTCCCCTGAGAGACACCCTAGGCCAATGTCTTCACAGCTTTCTCACTATTTGCCTCAGTCATCAATAAAAACACAATCCTCCTGAGTCATTATTCATCAACACCCAAGCTTTCTTTTCCATGTGTCTGATTCTAACCTAATACCCCACCCCATCATAACTCCAAACTCATTTAATATTTCCTCTGAAAGTCATGGCCTGCCATCAGCAGAGTCTCTTATACAGTATTCTGACCACAAATTTCTGAACGTTCCATTTATCATCTCATTCTAACAAAAAGCTGCTTTTCCATGAGGGCTCTTTTTCCCCTACACCTCTCTCAAGTAATGACTGTTCTCCATCCCACATGTCACAAAACACAGAACCTGAAACTGAAGGAGGTCTTCCCTTTGCTCTCATTAGTGCTTCCAGAAAATTTCTACTCTCCCTCCAGGGCTTTTCAGCTCAGGCCATCAGACTATAATATCTCCTTGTAGTTGTCTACCAAAGATTTGTACTATCCTCCTGTTTCATTGATTCCTTTATATAAAAGCATGATTGGTATTAAGTTCAAAAGAGAAATGGAAGAGATTCATTGGAAAGAGTGAATACACACAACTGTTTGGAGGAGAAATTTTGGTGTAAGGAGAGTAGAAAAATGAGGAGGTACTTAGAAAAGACTGTAAAAATCAAAGGATTTTGTTATTACATTGTTTTGTTTTGATTTTATGATGGAAAATCTAGCAGCATGTCTGTATGACTAACCTCCTGATAAAATGAATGAAATGTTCCTACTTCCAGTTAAGTCCAGCCTCTCCATATTGTGCCCAGTTCACATCCCCACTTACTTTTCTCCTTCCTACATTATCTATGTAACCCTCAATCATTTTCATCAGCATACAATCATGCTGTAATCTCTCTCTCTGCAATATTTATTAATAAATTTACATTTTTATTAAAGACCAACTGAACCTCCTTTGTAAAGGTTACCAATAACCTACACACCACCAAGCTATAATCAATGAATGATTACTTCTTGGTAGAACTCAGTGCAGGTGATCACATCTCGCTTTTTGGACCACTTTTCCCCCTGATGTTCTTGACATTATTGTATTACTGACAGTCTAATCTCTTTCTGGCTTATACTTTTTCAGTCTCCAAATGTTGAGATATCTCAAGGGCTCAACCCTTTCTTTTTCTAGATTCTAATAACTCCTTAGTTTTTCTCATCCAATTCAAGGACTCACAAATTTATATCTCCAGTCTAAACCTCTTTTCTGAAGTACACATTTTTTCAGCAACTGCCTCCTCAGTATTGCCATTGAATACTTCTTAGGTTCTTAAATGTAACGTAACTACAGTATAACTCTTACACCATCTTCTTACTCTTTCTTACCATTGTTTCTCAGCTCAGTAAATAGCATCATTATTTTTCCAGTTGCATAAAATAGAAATCTACATTGTCCTTGAATTTTGTTTTTCTCCCTTTCTTTATCCAGCTCTACCTTTCAAATATAACCTGAACCTTATCACATCTTAACCATTTCCACTGCTACCACTCTATTCCCAGTTACCTTTATCTGCCTTCTAAATTACTATAATGGCTTATAACTTACCTCATTGTTCCCATCTTTTTTCCACACAGTAGCCAGAGGGAAAGTTTTAAGTCTCTATCATACCACATATTATTACTAACCTATCTAAAATCTTCCCTATCTAAAATCTGGCTTTTCAACCTATTTAGAATGAAATTAAAACTCCCAATCCTTGTTTTCATAATCTAGCTTTTATCAATACTACCAATCTCATTTCTTCATATGTTCCTTCTTGCACACTACAGTTTGTCTACCATGTCCTTCTTCCACTTCCTGGAATACATCAAGGCTTATTCCTACCTCAATATCTTCATGCTTGCTATTCTTTTTGTCTGGAACAAGTCATTGATCTTATCATAACTTGCTCCTATATTTTATTCATGTCTGTGTTCAAAGATCGTGAACTAAGAAAGGCTTTCCATGACCAACCCATCTTTGATATTCATCCTTTCATGTGTAATTCCTTTATACTAATTTATTTTTATTAATGTGTAGCCACTACAAATTACATTAAATAACCTGTTAATCTGTTGATTTTTTTCTGTCTCTGTCACTGGCACATCAGCTCTGTCAAAGCAAGAACACATTGCCTAAAACAATTTTAATACTTGGTGGTCTTTCAATAGATTGTTTGCTAAATTCATGAGTAAGTGAATGACTTCATTTTTAAAAATAATACATTTTTATCTGGATATTTCAGAATCTAGGTTTTATTCCCCCTTTTGGCTTAAGTTTTATCTGAATTTTTTAAATTATATATGCCAGATGTGAACATAGTTGAAAAATGTTCTGTATATAATTCCAATGATGTGTGCTTTAGAAATGTAAAAGTTATAAATTAATACGGAAGATCAAAGGTAGTTAGCACATAAATATAAGCATCTAGATAGACATTTTCACTTTAACATAGTCCTTGCAAAGCACAGAATTAACCCAGCTATTCAATCTTACAGAATACTATTTAGAATTGCTGCGAAGGGTTAAACGTAGTATCACTGAGTTCAGCAAAAGAAAAGAAACTTGAATAGTCTTGGATGTCACACAGTCAATAGACTTTCTAGAATACCTATTGTATGATAAGAACCTGTGCTGGACATTCTGTGTTACATTTGGAATATAGGAGAGATAAAGTCCTTTACAAGTATAGTTTATAACTCAGTTGCTGCCACACAACATGCACATGAGTAATTCTTAGGAACATTTCCAAACCACATATAAATTAGAACACATTCATGAAGAACTAGTAGTGTATGTTAAGAGAGGGGAAGGATAAAATGAACAAATAATTTTAAAAGAAGGGCCAGTTTAATCATACAAATGAAATGGTTGATTTTTCAAACTGTTAAATAAACACAAACAGTAAAGAAAATGGAAGCAGCAAGGAAAGGTGTGATTTTTCCAGAAGAGAATTGTAATGTTACATGGAAACAAATAATCTGATCATCTAATTTAATAATTATGGAACTGGGCTAATTAAATGGGGAAATAAGAAACTTAGCAAGGCCTTGATACAGAAAAAAGTTAAAACTTATGCTAATTTTCGCTCAATTTTCAAAATCAGTGAGAATATTCCAAGGTTAGATGTAATAGATCCAACGTGATTATTTACCAAGGGGCTCAATGGGTATAAGGATTTCCAGTGAATAGCGGTCTAGTTCCCATAATGGCAAAGTAAGTAACATATTATCCTGCTGATGACAACTTAAAAAGCCGAACCTTTTTTTTTTTTAATTCTGTGCTCATATTTCAGGGATGATTTACCTCTAAATATAGCTGCTGTTCCTGGAGAGGGTCACTGAGAGATTGAGGGATAATTTTATTCCCTCAGAAAGATGTATGAAGTGCATTCATCCTAAATTCAATGATTTTTATATATGTATACACCTATGTAACCACTGCTCAGATTAAGACAAAATATTTTCTCACCACATAAATTTTCTCTCCTACCCCTTTTTCTCCATGTAACCCACTATTGTGTCTTTTATCATAATCAATTGGTTTCGCTTGTTCTGAAACTTCATACAAATGGAGACTTTGCAAGGGAGTCAAATTAAAATGAAATCCTTAAGCCAGTTCCTAATCCAATATGACTGTTTCCTCACAGAAAGTTGAAATTTGGACATAGAGACAGACACACACAAAGGGAAGATGATGTGAGGAGCCCCAGGGAGAAGATGGCCACCTGATTGATGGGATGCATCCTCAAGCCAAGAAAATTCAGCAATTGCCAACACACACCAGAAGCTGCAGGAGGCAAGGAGGGACTGACTCCTCTGTCTGACCATCAGAGACAGCATGACCTGATGACACCTTGATTTTGTACTGATAGCCTGCAAAAATGCAAGGCAATAAATTTCTGTTGTTTTGAGTCACCTCATTTTTGGCACTTTGTTATGCCCCACTAGGAAATTGATATAATACATAGCAAAAGTAATTTGAAGGCATTGGAAAGCATCCACAGCAGGTGAAAATTTAGGATTTACTATTTGTAAAGAAAAAAAAAAAGAAAAAAGAGAGAGAGGGAGAGGCACAGGAGGTAAATTACACATGTATCTGACTTTTCCTCTGACAGCACTTTTCAGTTTGATGCCACCATACAGGTATTAGAGCTCAAACAGAAGCGAAAATTCTTAGTAAATTGATGAAACAAACAAGAGCTGGAATTTAGGATTGAAGGAGTAGCTATAAATTGAGGACAAATCCAAAGCAAAGGTAACTGCACAAGAAGGAGCCCAAAATATGCACATACATTCCCATTGAGCATTAACTGACTTCATAACGGCACATGCACTCCAGAAGAAAGCAACATCTAGAAAGCCAAAGAGCTTAGCAAAGATTTCAATAGCTGCCTAATTCTGGGAGATAAAGTTTGTAATTCAAGTCCAATCAACTTAGAGGATCTTGGTAAACAACTTAGATTTTCATTGGCACCGCAGAAAAGCCATCCTCTAATACTGGAGGCTATGTTAAATTATACATACACACACAAAGTCCAAAATCAACCTCTACAGATTAAGGTAATTCACTGCTACTTTATCTGTCTCTCTACCTCCCAAAAATCACATTTCTATGTAAGAACATTGTTTCTAGGGACTCTGAAGTTTATCTTTCACAATGACTAACATCCAGTAAAAAAAATGACACATGCTTTAAAACTATAACTAAGTGATTGGAAATCACTGAAACAACAAAGAGAAAAAGACTGATATATGGTTCCCAAACTTGTCTGTAAAAAATACTTTAATATACCACTCATAAATTTGCTAAAGAACACATAGGAAAAATGATTATAATGGAAGAAAAGATGGAGAATTTCAATAGAGAATTGAGATCTATAAAAAAATGAGATTTATTTTAAAAAAAGCATGAAATCATGTCATTTGCAGCAACATGGATGGACCTGGAAACCATTATTTTAAGTGAAGTAACTCTGAAACAAAAAGTTAGATACTGCAAATTCTCACTTATTAGTGGGAGCTAAATCATGTGTACACATGGACATAAAATGTAAAATAATAGACACTAGAAGCTCCAAAGGGTGGGAGGGCAGAAGGATGGTGAGGGATGAGAAATTACATAATGGGTGCAATGTACACTATTTGGGTGATGGTTACACTAAAAGCCCAGATTTCACCATTAGGCAATATATCTGTATAACAAAAATTATCTTGTGTGCCCTAAATTTATAAAAGCAAATAAATAGTGCAACTGACATTCTAGAACTGAAAAATGCATTGTTTGAAATTAATAACTCATTTGATTAATATAACAGTAGGTTGGACACAGCATAAGGCAGAAATAGAGAAGTCAAAACAAAGTCCACAGAAAATATCCAAATCTAAAACACACAGAGAGCAAAAAAGAATAACAAGAACAACAACAAAAACAACAGGACATAATCAAATACTCTAACGTATATGTCACTGGAGTCACGAGGATAAGGAGAAGATTATGGAGCACAAAAGTGCCCAGGAATTTCCCCAAACTTATTAAATAACAATTTAGAAAGCATGTTGAATCCCAAACAGGGGTTACAGGAAACAACTCTGCTAGCTATGTTGATTTACTCATTCAAAAACCATACCTTGAGAGTTTACTGTGAACCAAGAACCAAGGATACATGACTGAAAGGATATTGCCTCTGTTTTCACAGAGCTTGAAGTCTAACAGGAAAGATAAATATTAATGACTTATTTACAATAATATTTTTACAAAGAAAGATTAGAATCTCATAAAATATGTATATTTGACTTGGATGTGATTCATTACTCTGTATCCATCACTATGCATATAGTTATAGCTTTGGATTGTGGCGCTTTCTATAAAATATTTTTTTAAATTTGTACACTTTTCTAAAAGAATTAAGGTGTGATGGCCGGGTGCAGTTACTCACGCCTGTAATCCCAGCACTTTGGGAGGCTGAGGGGGGAGGAGGTCAGAAGTTTGAGACCAGCCTGGCCAACATGGTGAAACCCCATCTCTACTAAAAATAGAAAAATTAGCCTGGCATGGTGGCAGGAGCCTGTAATCCCAGCAACACGGGAAGGGGAGGCAGGAGAATCACTTGAATCCAGGAGGCAAAGGTTGCAGTGAGCCAAGATCACACCACTGAACTCCAGCCTGGGTGACAGAGTGAGACTCTGTCTCAAAAAAAAAAAAAAAAAAAAAAAAGAATTAAGGTGTAACATAGGAAAGTAGGAGAAGAAATAATTAGGGCAACCAATGAGAATATGATTATATCTAATAATCTAGGCAAAAGATGAAGGTGAAACAGATTGAGGTATGTTAACAAATACATAAGTAACTGGATAGAAATGAAAAGTGTAGGATGTAAAATGACCATATATGGTTATTTATTAGTTGTGTGAAGTGAAGAATAGGAAATCAAAGGTAACTTCAGTTTGAGATGAGAGATTGAGGACTATTACAGAAGTTTAAACACAAATTATACAAATACAAAGAAAGAGATGAATTCCATAGGCACTAAGACGAACTTGAAAGTAATCTATTTAAATAAATCTATTTAAATAAATAAAAATGAACAGTTAAACAGTGATTAAAGAAAGATTCATGATAGAGCTAAACAACAATGTCTTCTTTCTGCTACAAAATTATTTTACTTAATAACATACTTTTCTTGAAAATTTTGGACACCTGACCCTCAAATTCATTAATCTTCTTGCCTAAGTCAACCAATTTCAGCCTTGCAGGAATGCAAAATATTTTATACCCCGGAAGATTTAACACATCACTGAATAATGAATGTTAATAGAATCAAAGCTAATATTTTTATTATATTTTTAAAAGCACATTATAAAATATTACTAAAATAAGAGGATTTTTGTTGGATAATAACTCTAAATATCTACCATATTACTGACAAGCCAACTACTGAGCTACTGAGCTAAATATTTAGACTCAAACTGTTTGACCTAGGAAAGAAGAAGACGAAAAGGAGGGGGAGAATGAGTCACCTTTCATGCCAAGAATGAATTATATTCCTCTCCTCCTAACTAACAAAGGAACCAAGTTTGAGTTATTTTCTTCAATTACCACCTCCCAGAAAGATTCAATCACCTTTTAAAATAAGGCTTATTTTTCCATCTTTTCCAGCAATGTGAAATCAGCATTGAAATTTCAGCAAATAAAGACTAGTTTAATTAAGAAGGCAAAATCTCCCATAATTCCATATCCAAAGATAATTGCTGTGTGTCTTTTTGTATATTTTCTGCTATCTTTTAACAAATGTATTAATAATACTAACTCATTAGACAATTCTTGGCCTACTTTTTTCTTTCTTTACATGATTTATATATTTTAAAAAGCATATTCCACTGCTGTAAATTTCATTTTAATGAATTGTATTGCATTATGTAGACATACCATAATTTATTTAACACTTTTCTAGTTTTGTTCCCAATTTTTCACTATTGCATTATTCAAAACTAGAATGCAATCAAATTACCCACTTGGGATTCATACATTTAATAGTTGGCATTTTTTTTCTATTCCCCTTGAAGTTTCATTCAGTGATAGAATTGTTTCTGCTTTCAGCCTTTTGTTGAGAAAATATATTTTTGAAAAGTTGATTTTCCTGTCAAAAGCCTTTCTTATTTCCTCTTTTTAAGTGCAAAAGTCAGCATCTAAACACATTGTTTTGCAACATTTTTTCCCTTAACAATATATACCTGTTGGAATATTTCCATTTCAGTATTTCAGTGCATAGAAAGTTTCCCCTCTTTTTTCCCTCACAAATGCAGGGTATTGTATTTATGGATGTACCATAATTTCTTTAGCCAGTGCCTTACTGATAGAAATTGGTTTTGTTTCTTTTTTTTTGCTACAGCAATCGATACTGCAATAAATATTTTGTAGACCTTCATGTTAATGTGTACCAATATATCTCTGGACAGATTTCAGAAATGTGATTGTTCAGTAAAATTATAATTATGTATGTAACAGTCATTCCCACCTTCTTGAATTTGTGTTAAAACACACCCACACACATACACATACACACATCTGGGAATATACAAAAGAAAATATGTTCATTCAAGTGATTAACTTGTGTGGAAAGAGAGCATGGACTAGGTGGATGGGACATAGTACAGCATTTAAATTTTTCACATTTTATATAATTTATGTTTTTAATTTGTATTTGTATTGTGATTCTTTGTATTCCTCTATTCAAAAAGTAAGTTTTAAATCCTTATCTGTCAATATCACCTAAAAACCCAACTCAGGATCCTAGCAGAGAGGTCTACAGACTGTTACAAAACTCAAACTGGTACATGTGAGCAGGTCCTGTGCCCTAATTCATTAGGTTTCATGGCATTTAAGACATGGGAAAGGCATCTCCAATTTAGGCAGCATGTCTAGATAGAAGCAGAGAAGGATTTGGAACACTAGTCTCTGTGTAGTCCACAAACAGCCTACTAAATAACCACAGATTCCCCAATATTACAATGAAATCCTAAAAAGAGATAACTACTCAGAGCACTTTTTCCATGCCTATCACTTGTGAACAATATAACGTGAGAACTGGTCTTCCCCTCCAAGGATGGGATATATTCAAAAACAACTATCTATTTTATAATTTAGGACACTCTAAGCAGAGCATCAAATATTTCCCACAATGAAGACAGAAATCTTTCTAGGAAGAATGTCCTCTATGCAGTGATCACTCTCTATTAATATTTTTTGACCTAAGTTAAAAAATAAGGGGAAGAGAGATGTAAAGAAAGAAATTTTTTATGCCCTAAGATGAAGCTTCTCTCCATCTGCCCATTAACCTCTGTCCATCTCAGACATGGAAACAATAAATTAGCGGACATGCATGAGAAAACCATTATGTAACTCTGCAGTCATAATCTAATGACCTCTAAATCTGCTGCTTTTTTTTTCTTTTCTCCGTTTTGAACCATGTAGTCACATATTAAATCAAGTAAGAGTGGAAGAAAGCTGAACACAGACTTAAGAAAAGCACCTAGGAAAAAATCTCTTTTATAATAGAAAGAAATACAAAATGTACTAAAAACAAAACCAATGAACATTATTTGCTATAATTGAAAATTAAATTTTACCAAAATTAGTATGTGTATCTTCAAACCTATAAATGATATCTGTCAAAGACAAGGGTCTTAAATGTTGACTCAGAAGGTTGGCAGAATTCTGAGAAAAAAAAAGGGTTCAGTAAGTTATTCCGATGCACTCCTCACCAAAACAGCACTCATAAAGGGAGCCTATAAGCTGAAGCCAACATCCTGTTACTACATCAACTTTAGAAGCATGGAGACACTACACTAACAAAAAGAAGTTAATGCTACTTTAAGAAAAGCAGGTAGCAATTTGGCAGCTCAATAAAATTGTTGATTTCACAATAGGCAATTAATTCTATATCATGAAAAGTTCTTTTCCCTATTACATATCAAGATAATTGTTACCAATACTACTATAGAATCTCAAATATAGCCCTACCCTCATGGTTTCTTATATACTTCTAGTGGCTTGCTGGTATAACAACTACTTCTCTGGGGGAAAAAAAAGTGTGTGTGCATCTATGTACACAAGTTAATTATAAATTGTACCAATATAAAGGGCATGTAGCACACAATATAATGAGAAAGATGAAAGTGATACAGTAAAGATATAGCAGAATGCACCTATTTGTCAGTTATGTATGAGTAACTTCATTGAATCAAATAATAATTTTCAAATATTGGAAGACTAGCTCCTCAATTTTTATGCTATTCATAATGTAATGAACACAAGCGAGGCACTGAAATTTAACCTGCCGGGTTAACATTTTCTCCATCACTTTCTTAAGTTTGTACAATCAACAAAACAATAATTCAATCCCCAATTATTAACATTTAGTAATTTTCATGGTGTAAACGCTACCACCATGGCTGATTCAAACTACTGATGTGGCATCGATGGATAGGGAATTATGAAGAGATACACAATAATACATCATTGTTCAGTATTTCCACTATGATATAGTCAATGTGAATAATCATGAAGGCAAAGGTAACAGTAAAAAGCAGTAAATGAATTAGGAAATAATGTATTTAAATACATCTTTTTTATTTCAATATAATTTATTTAATTGTAAGCTTGCATTACAAATATTTTTAATAATGGCCTTGAGGGCAGATCACTTAAGCCCAGAAATTAGAGACCAGCCTGGGAAACATAGGGAGATCCTGTCTCTAGAAAAAATACAAAAATTATCCAGGCATGGTGATGCATGCCTGCAGTCCCAACTACTTGGGAGGCTGAGGTAAGAGGATCAATTGAGCCCAGGAGGTCAAGGTTGCAGTGAGCCATAATTGTGCCACTGCACTCCAGCCTGGGTGACACAGCAAGATGTGCCTCAAATGATGACTGATGATGATGATGATGATGATGATGATGATGATGATGATGGCCTTGAACAACTGGCTTGCAAAATTAGTGAAAATTTAACAATTAGCTCTGATGAGCTGGTGAAAGCTTGCTCCAGCACATCTTTTGATATTCCCCTGGGCTATTCCCAACAAATATTGTTTTCCAAAATGTTCACTCTGATTTTGTTGCTTGGGCCTCCTAACCTCTCTTACTCATGGAAATAATATTATTGATTACGGCTAGGTGGAAACAGGCCCTAAATAAAACTTTGCATTTGTAATAATTAAAATTCCTTGTAAAAGAACATTTAAACTTGAAGTCCATTTAATTGCAAAAGAATAAACACGAAGGAGAAGTTTAATTAGGCTCAGTGACAACTTCAAAGGCTGTGGAATGTGCTCAAAAGTCACCTTTGAATCACCACAAACATCTCTTTCACTTTTATTCTTTTCTGGTTAAACAGACTGCAAGTTTAAATGTCTTGCTTACTAAAATGGGCAAACATTTTATAGTGATTCCAAAGGTGACTTCTGAGCACAATCCACAGCTTTTGAAGTTGATGTCACTGCTTCTAATTAAATCTAATTACACTGAAGAAGCTGCTATGAGATAGGAAAAGGGAAGGCTGTATATTAAAAGCTAAATGCAAATGATCTCAATTTGGAAAAGTATGCTTAATATTTGCTCAGTTGTCAATATTCCCTCTAAAACTACCCACATCCAGGGGATCTTCTTTCACTTTTATGCTCTCTTAAAGAAGAAATGCTCTCAGACTAACTTGTCCTATGCAAATTGACTATTTTTTTTTTATTTTAATTTTTCCAGGCTGTTTGACCACGGTAGAGTAAATAAGACCTTCTGTACAGGGTTAAGAATTTTAGAAATCATTACTAAATAGATTTTTTAATACTGATGTCTTGCCAAATCAGAAGACAAATAGTGTGAAATAGCTTTTAATGTTTATCTACGTTGAGTTCTTAATCATAAAGCTTTAGCTCAGCATGAGCTTTTAGTTTACACTGAATGAGGAAGAAAGGTTTTAGTTTTTGCAGCATATATATTTCTAGTGCTCCTTTCTGATTTTATGGGCAATCCTGTCTTCATGCTTTCTTAATCTTGAAGCTTTTTCAAAGGCAACATACTGTGCCAAATGTACAGCGATTATGTAATGTGGACAAAAATCCAGTGGGAAATGTGTAGAGCAGATCAAAATCATTCCACTTAAGACCTTTTACAGTCATTTGATCTAATGATGTTCACTAACGTTTGATGTACTAAAAGGCAACCACTGTGTGAACATAAGGTTTGCATCAACATGTGACTTCTCAGTGAAACCGAGATCATTGTGGTCTTTTGAAGACAGTTTTACATACAAAATAATAATATCTATACAGTCCCATGACACACTTTATGAATCACTAAATTTTATGCCACTTCCTATGAAAAATCTTTCTCATGTCAACTGGTCATCAAAGCAGTGTCTTATATGCATGGGAAGCAAAATGGGGAATTTCATTGATTACCCAAATTGAAAGTATAGCTCATATAAATTTTTGGAGAAAAAGTAAATTGTCATCTAGTTTACTAACTTTGACACAGCCACAGATCAAAATTGTTCCATAAACTTATTTAAGCTAGAAAATATTTCCTCATTTCTTTTCATGTTCTACTCTTCAGTTACTTTTTTTCAAGGTTCACCAATACTGTGCACTTCAGGATTCAACTATACATGAGTAACTCTACTATAAGCTCAGACATGTAAAGAGCTTGGAAATCATCACTCCTGTTCTTACAATAAGAAAGAGCTGAACAAACAGAAATGCAACGACTTTTCTTGAGAGAACTGAGATTACAGGGTAAATTTCTATCTAGATATCTGGAAAGACAGCCAAATCCAGAGATTCACAGTATTCCAGGAAAGATTTGCTTACCTGGGGTAGAAGTCTCTGGAGCTCATAAAATGGTAGGAGCACTTAAATGGTAATTTTGCCACATTGCAAAGGCTGAATGGACTAGCATGAGAGTGTAAAATTCCTGGGGTCACAGACTTAGGGAGGCCCCACAATTTTGTTGGCTTTACCTCAAGGAATCCCACCAGATTCTCACAGCGAAGAGCCAACAAAGATCCTTCAGCCAGAAGCAGGAGTTAAAGCTTCAAGGAAATAGGTTAGGAATGCTACGGCCGGAGAAGTAGAGAAGAGGCCTAAGGGAAACCTATACCACTGGCAAAACACTTACCAAAGTCATAGCCCTAAAACACAGGCCCACTGAAAGAGTAGTGTTTAATTGTAAGATTACAGAATTTTTCACCTCTTGCGTTCCTTTGCACAGCAACAGCACTCTGGTATAACAACAGTGGACCATAGCTGAAAGAGCTTCAAGATGTCCACTGTCTTTGAGGAGGAACATTTAAGGGTGTCCAAAGTCAACAGGAGAGAAACATCAAGGACACTAGAGGAATTTAAAGCTTCTGGCACATATTAGCTACAGCAAACATAAACACGGACCAACTCTCAGCAAAATTAACATAAATCCTTACTCTATAAGCCTAATTATGAAAGTTCTTATTATCTAATATATCACATCAAGCAAAAAACTTACAAGGTATACTAAAAGAAAAGAAGACACATAGTCTGAAGAGACAAAGCAAGCATCATCAGGACAGTCTCAGACATGACATTCCATGTTAGAATAAGACAGGAATTTAAAATAACAAATATGATTAATGTGTTAGGGCTTCAACAGAAAAAGTAGACAACACGCAAAAATAGATGGGTAATGTAAGTAGAAAAAAGAAAATTTAAAGAAAAAAACAAAAAGGAATAGTGGAAATTAAAAATGATACAACAAATAATGTCTTTAATGACCCTGAGAGTGACATCAGCAAGAGGATGAGATGAGAGACCAGCACTCATCTCCTCACAGAAATATCAGTTTGAACAGCTTCCATACACACATGGAAATAACTTCACAAGAGCTAAGAAATTCAGGTGAGAGATTACAGCACCTGACAGGAGCACATAAATAAGAAAAAGATGCTTTGAAGAAGGCAGAAAGGACAGTTTCACATTACCCTCATTATCCCTCCCCCTAGCTCAGTAAGTATGGTATAGAAAGAGATACCCTGTGCTTGGCGGAAGTACAAACTGATCACCTGATATTGCTGTGAACCCCAGCACCAGACTGGTCCCTGCAACTCCAGGCTATAGGCCACTCCCTACAGACACAGTCCCCAGGCCTGACCCAGCACAGGCTATAGGCTGGCCCAAGGCCGGATAGGCCTCATGAAGCCAGAACCCATACCTGCTCCCACAGACTCAGGCTCCAGGCCACACACCATGGACCCAGGCTCCAGGCATGCACTGGTGCCAGACCTGCCCTTGTACACCCAGGTTTTAGGCCCATGACAGCACCAGAACAACCCTATGGCTTCAGGTTCCAGGCATACCCTAGCACTAGGCTAGCTCTTAAGGACCCAAGCTCCAGGCCAGCCACCATGGCCCCAGGCTTCAGGCTTGCTGCAGTCATTCTACATCAGCCCAAGTAGACCCAGGACCCATGCCTGCCCCCACAAACTCAGACTCCTAACAACCTCAGCATCAGGCCTGAGCAGACCCAGGCTCCAGGCCCACCCCCATATTTCTGGGCTACAGGTCCACCAGCATGGACCCAGACTTCAGGCCCATTCCGTGTTCCCAGGCAATAAGCCACGTACATCTGTGGGCCACAGATCAAAGCTCCAGGCCCACCCCAGTGCCAGGATGGCACCTGTGTAGCCCCAGGCTCCAGGCCAGCCCGCATGAAACCAAGACCCAGGCCCTCCCCTACAGACTCGGGATCCAGGTCAGTTCAGCATCAAGCTAGCACCTACAGAACCAGTTCTTAGTCCTACCCTATGGCCCAGGCACCAGATCTGCCCCTGTGGACTCAGACTCCAGGCCCACCCCAGTGTGAGGATGGCCCACTGGGACCCAGGTTTCAGGCCTACAGCAGTGCAAGGATAGCTTTGATAGCTCCAGATTCTAAAGGAGTCCCTAAAGACCCAGGACCCAGGCTTGCCCCTATGAGCTCAGTCTCCAGGACTGCCTCAGTGGGTGCCAACACCAAACTGGCACACATGGCCCCGGCTCCAGGCTCAGCCATATATAACTAGATACGATGCCTGCATATATGCACCAAGGCTCCAGGCCTGGCCTCACCCTCATCACCATGCCCGCCCTAGTGGACTCCAGCAGGAGGCCCGCACCTGCAGACTCAGGCTGTATTTCAGCCAAGCTCTAGACCCACACCACTGGACCCAGATGCTAGGCCTATCCCCAAAGATCAAGGCCCTGGGATAGTCTTTGCAGACCTGGGAGCCAGACCCTCCAGCCCACTGACCCAGGCACCAGGAAGCCTCCCTCCCTTGCACCAAGGACTTCAGAAGCAAGCATGCATGTACCCCATTGGCTGTCCTACCTAGTATCTCTAGAAGGGTGAAATGATGACGGACTTTCCCTGCCAAAGCCGGTCTGTAAACACTAGAAGAGGTGCCTACTTCTTCAAGTGTGCAGATCCCAATGCAAAGCCAGAAGGATCACAAGTACTCAGAAAAACATGACACCCATTAAAGGAACAAAATAAAGCATATGTATAGTCCCTAAAGAAAGAAGAGACCTACAAACTGTGGAATAAATAATTCAAAACAATCATCTTTAAGAAGTTCAGTTAGGCTGGGTATAATAGTTCACAGTTGTAATCTCAGCACTTTGAAAGTCCAAGGCAGGAGAATCACTTGAGCCCAAGAGTTCAAGTCCAGCCTGGGCAACATAGAAAGATCCCATTTCTTAAAAAAAAAAAAAAAGAAAAAGAAAATTAATTAGCTAGGTATGGTGATGCTTGCCTGTATTCCATATAGTGCCTATAGCTACTCAGGAAGCTGAGGTGAAAGGATCGCTTGATCCCAGAAGTTTGAGGCTACAGTGAACCATGATTGAGCCACTGCACTCCAGCTTGGATGACAAAGCAAGACCTTAACTTAAAAAAAAAAAAAAAGCTACAAGAGAATACAGAAAGACAATTAAGTAAAATCAGAAGAAAACCAATACATCAATACATGAACTAATGAGTTCAACAAAGAAACCACAAAAAGAAACTAAACAGAAATACTGGAGCTAAAGAACACAATGACTGAGTCAAAACTTTCCACAGACTTCTTCAACAGTAGACCCAATCAAGCAGAAAAAAGAATCAGCAACCTTGAAGATAAGTCATTTGAAATTACCAAATGAATAATAATAACTAATTTTAAAAGAAGTAAAAAACAACCTACAAGTTTTATGGAACACCATAAAACAAACCATTTTATGCATTATGGCCACATCAGAAGGAGAAGAGAAAGAGAGAGGAGAAGAAAGCTTATTTATAGAAATAATGACAGAAAATTTCTCAAATCTGAAAGGAAAGATTGTCATCCAGATCCATAAAACCTAAAGAATCCCAAATACATTAAACCTGAAGAGATCCTCACTGAGACATATTATAATAAAATTCTCAAAAGTCTCAGATCTAAGGGAGAATTTTGAAAATAGCAACAGAAAAGTAATCACATTCAAAAGAACCCTTATAAGAATATGAGCAGATGTCTCAGCAGAAACTTTACAGGCTAGTTTTGAGTGGGATGATATATTCAAAGTACTGAAAGAAAAAAGGGCCAAGAAAGAATACTCTACATGGCAAAACTGTGCTTCAGAAATGAGAGATAGACTTTCCCAGTCAAACAAAAGCTGTGGAATTTTATTACCACTAGACCTCCCTTACAGGAAATGCTAAAGGGTATTCTTTAAGAATGAAACCATTGCTAACTAGCAGCATGAAAACGTATGAAAGTTTGAAACTCGCTGTAAAGATAAGACTATAGTCAGAGTCTGTACCCTAATACTGTAATGATGGCATGTAAATCACTTTTAACTGTAGTATAAAAGTTAAATGAAAAAAGTATTAAAAATATAGCTATAATAATGTGTTAATGTGTTTACAGTAGAAAAAGATGTAAATTGTGACATCAATAAAATAAAAAATGAGATGAGAAGAAATAAAAGTGTAGATATTTTGGATATGGTTGAAGTCAATATCAGCTAAAAATAGACTGTTATAATTCTAAAATATTAAAATGTTTTATGTAAGGTTTATGGTAACCACAAAGAAAAACCTATATAAGATATACAAAAGATAAACAGAAAGGAATCAAAGTATATCATTACAAAGAAATCATCAGTCACAAAGAAAATCAGTAAGAAAAGAAGAAAGAAATTTTTTAAAACTACAAAACAGTGAAAAAACAATGAACAAAATGGGAATAATAAGTCTTTACCTATCAATAACTACTATACATGTAAATGGAGTAGATTATCCAATCAAAAGACATAGAGGGGCTGAATGAGTACAAAACGAAAAACCAACTACATGCTACCTAAGAGACTCACTTTAAGAACACACATAGGCTAAAAGTGAAGGGATGGAAAAAGATATTCCGTGTAAATGATAATCAAAAGAGCAGGGGTGGGAATACTTATATCAGACAAAATTGAATTTAAGTCAAAATCCATCAAAAAACACAGAAAAGTCACCAATAATTATAAGGGAGTCAATTTATCAAGAGTATAATTGCATATATATGACATGAGTATATATATATATGTGTGTGTGTGTGTGTGTGTGTATATGACAATTATATATGCACCCAACAACAAAGCACTTCAATTTATAAAGTAAATATTAACATAACTAAAAGGAAATGTAGACAGCAATATGATGATAGCAGGGGACTTCAATATTCTGTTTTCAACAATAGATAGACCATCCAGACAAAAAAAAAATATATATATATATAAGGAAAGAGCAGACTCGACAACATCATAGGCCAAATGAACCTAACAAGTGAATACATAACATTCCATCCAATAGCAACAGAATAGATATTCTTCTCAAGCACACACGAAGCACTTCCCAGGCTAGATCATACATTAGGCCACAAAACAAGTCTTAACAGATTTAAGAAGATTGAAATTATATCAGTTATATTTTCCTACCACAATGATATAAAAATAAAATCAATAACGGAATAAATTAGAAAGTTCACAAATATGTGCAAATCAAATAACATGCTACTGAACAACCAATGGGTCAAAGAAGAATTCAAAATGTAGTCAAATAATATCCTGGAAAAACAAAAATGGAAATACAACAAAAGCAGTTCTGAGAAAGAAGTTTATAGTGATAAGTGCCTACATTAAGAAAAGACAATGATCTCAAATAAACAACTTAACTTTACACCTCCAGAAACTAGGAAAAGAAGAAAAAGTAAGTCCAAAGTTAGCAAAAGGAAGAAAGTAGTAATAATCAGAGTGGAAATAAGTGAAATAGATACAGGAAAAAGTAGAAAAGATCAATAAAATTAAAAGTTGGTTTTTTGAAAAGATAAACAACATTGACAAATTTTTAGCTAACTTAAGAAAAAAGAGAAAACTCAAATATGATTATACGTGAAAGAGGAGACATTATGACTGCTACTACAGAAATGCAAAGGATCATAAGACTACTATGAACAATTATACATCAATAGGATAATTTAGAAGAAATGAATAAATTTCTAGACACATAACTTCCCAAGACTGAATCATAAAGAAATAGACAATCTGAAAAGACCAATAACAAAAAAGGAGATTGAATCAGTAAAAGTCCCCCATCAAAGAAATCCCAGGACCTGATGGCTTTACTGCTGAATTCTACCAAACAGGGACAATGTAACTTCTTCCTTTATGATTTGGGTCTTCCAATACTGTGTTCAATAGACTCAGCAAGATAGGGCATCTTTGTCTTGTAGGGCTCCTTCTTAAAGAAGAACTAATACTAATTCTTCTCAAACTCTTCCAAAAGAGTCAAAAAGAGGGAATACTTCCAAACTTATTTTACAAGATCAGGATCACCCTGATGCCAAAGCCAGACAAGGACATTATAAGAAAAGGAAATTGCAGGGCAATATTCCTGATGAACATAGACGCAGAAATCTTCAACAAATTGTTAATAATAGCAAACCCAATTCAAAAGGAACATTCATCATAATCAAGCTGGATTTACCCCAGAGAAGCAACAGTGTCTTGACATACACAAGTACATCACATTAATAAAACAAAGAACAGAAACCAAATGATCATCTCAATAGACATATTCGACAAAATTCAACATCTTTTCTTGATTAAAAAAAGCTCTCAACAAATTTGGTATAGAAAAACTGTATCTCCACATAATCAAGGTCATATATTATAAGCCCACAGCTGACATATTCAATGGTGAAAAACTGAAAGCTTTTCCTTTAAGATCAGGAGTCCTCTAAGACAAGGATGCTCTCTCTCTTGCCAAGTCTATTCAGCATAGTACTAGAAGACCTAGCCAGATCAATTAGGCAAGAGAAAGAAATAAAAGTCACACAAATCATAAAGGAAGAAGTTAAACTGTCCCCGTTTATAAAATACTCATATATATAGAAAGCCCTAAAGACCCCACAAGAAAACCTGTTAAGATTAATAAATAAATTTAGTAAAATTGCAGAACACAAAATCAACATACACAAATCATTGCATTTCTGTACACTAACAAGAAACCATCAGGAAAAGAATTAAGGAAATAGTCTCATTTATAATAGCATCAAAAATACTTAGGAATAAATTTATCCAAAGAGATGAAAGGTCTATAAAGTGAAAACTGTAAAATATTGATGAAAGAAATTGAAGAAGACACAGATAAACGGAAGTATATCCCATTTTCACATTTTAAAAATTAATATTTTTAAATGTTCATATCACTCAACATTATCCACAGATTAAGTGCAATCCCTATAACAATTCCAATGGTATTTTTACAGAAATAGAAAATAAAATTCTAAACTTCATATGGAACCACGAAATACCTCTAACGGCCATACCAATCTTGAGCAAGGAGTACAAAGATGGAGACATCACAATACCTGATTTCAAAATATGCTACAAAAGCTCTAATGATCAAAATAGTATAGTTCTGGCATAAAAACAGACTTTCAACAACTGGAATAGAATAGAGATACCAGATATAAATCCACACTATATTTAGCCAATTGATGTTCAACAAAGGCCTCAAGAATACTTAATGGAGAAATGATAATCTCTTCAATAACTGGTGTTGGGAAAAATTGGATATCAACATGCAGAACAATGAAAGTGGACTCTTGTCTCACACTATATACAAAAACACATAGAAATAAACACTTACATGTAAGATCTGAAATTAAAATTAATGGAGAAAACAGGGAAAAAATATTCTTGATGTTGAACTGGACCATAATTGTAAATGGGAGTTCACTCATGATTTCTCTCTCCGTTTGTCTGTTATTGGTGTATAGGAATGCTTGTGATTTTTGCACATTGATTTTGTATGCTGAGACTGTTGAAGTTGCTTACCAGCTTAAGGAGATTTTGGGCTGAGACGATGGGGTTTTCTAAATATACAATCATGTCATCTGAAAACAGGGACAATTTGACTTCCTCTTTTCCTAACTGAATACCCTTTCTTTCTTTCTCCTGCCTGATTGCCCTAGCCAGAACTTCCAACACTATGTCAGATAGGAGTGGTGAGAGAGAACATCCATGTCTTGTGCCAGTTTTCAAAGGAAATGCTTCCAGTTTTTGCTAATTCAGTAAGATATTGGCTGTGGGTTTGTCATAAATAGCTCTTATTATTTTGAGATACGTTCCATCAATACCTAGTTAATTGAGAATTTTTAGCATGAAGGGCTGTTGAATTTTGTTGAAGGCCTTTTCTGCATCTATTGAGATAATCATGTGATTTTTATCTTTGGTTTTGTTTATGCGGTAGATTACATTTCTTGATTTGCATATGTTGAACCAGCCTTGCATCCCAGGGATGAAGCCAACTTGATCTTGGTGGATAAGCTTTTTGATGTGCTGCTGGATTCAGTTTGCCAGTATTTTATTGAGGATTTTTGCATCGATGTTCATCAGGGATATTGGTCTAAAATTCTCTTTTTTTGTTGTGTCTCTGCCAGGCTTTGGTATCAGGATGATGCTGGCCTCATAAAATGAGTTAGGGAGGATTCCCTCTTTTTCTATTGATTGGAATAGTTTCAGAAGGAATAGTACCAGCACCTCTTTGTACCTCTGGTAGAATTCGGCTGTGAATCCGTCTGGTCCTGGACTTTTTTTGGCTGGTAGGCTCTTAATTATTGCCTCAATTTCAGAGCCTTGTTATTGGTCTATTCAGGGATTCAACTTCATCCTGGTTTAGTCTTGGGAGGGTGTATGTGTCCAGCAATTTATCCATTTCTTCTAGATTTTCTAGTTTATTTGCATAGAGGTGTTTATAGTATTCTCTGATGGCAGTTTGTATCTCTGTGGGATCAGTGGTGATACCCCCTTTATCATTTTTTTTTACTGCATCTATTCTATTCTTCTCTCTTTTCTCCTTTATTAGTCTTGCTAGAGGTCTATCAATTTTGTTAATCTTTTCAAAAAACCAGCTCTTGGATTCATTGATTTTTTGAAGGGTTTTTGTGTCTCTATCTCCTTCAGTTCTGCTCTGATCTTAGTTATTTCTTAGCATTTGAATGTGTTTGCTCACATTCTTAGCATTTGAATGTGTTTGCTCTTGCTTCTCTAGTTCTTTTAATTGTGATGTTAGGGTGTCAATTTTAGATCTTTCCTGCTTTCTCTTGTGGGCATTAATGCTATAAATTTTCCTCTACGCACTGCTTTAAATGTGTCCCAGATATTCTGGTATGTTGTGTCTTTGTTCTCACTGGTTTCAAAGAACATCTTTATTTCTGCCTTCATTTCATTATTTATCAAGTAGTCATTCAGGAGCAGGTTGTTAAGTTTCAATGTAGCTGTGCAGTTTTGAGTGAGTTTCTTATCCTGAGTTCTAATTTGATTGCACTGTGGTCTGAGAGACAGTTTATTATGTTTTCTGTTGTTTTACATTTGCTGAGGAGTGCTTTACTTCCAACTATGTGGTCAATTTTGGAATAAGTGTGATGTGGTGCTGAGAAGAATGTATATTCTGTTGATTTGGGGTGGAGACTTCTGTAGTTGTCCATTAGGTCTGCTTGGTGCAGAGCTGAGTTCAATTCCTGGATACCCTTTTTAACATTCTGTCTCATTGATCTGTCTAATGTTGACAGTGGAGTGTTAAAAGTCTCCCATTATTATTGTGTGAGAGTCTAAGTCTCTTTGTAGGTCTCTAAGGATTCGCTTTATGAATCTGGGTGCTCCTGTAGTGGGTGCATATATATTTAGGATAGTTAGCTCTTCTTGTTGAATTGATTCCTTTTACCATTGTGTAATGGCCTTCTTTGTCTCTTTTGATTTTTGTTGGTTTAAAGTCTTTTTTATGAGAGACTAGGATTGCAAAACCTGCTTTTTTTTTTTTCCATTTGCTTGGTAGATCTTCCTCCATCCCTTTACTTTGAGCCTATGTGTGTCTCTGCACATGAGATGGGTCTCCTGAATACAGCATAGTGATGGGTCTTGACTCTTTATCCAATTTGCCAGTCTGTGTCTTTTAACTGGAGCATTTAGCCCATTTACATTTAAGGTTAATATTGTTATGTGTGAATTTGATCCTGTCATTATGATGTTAGCTGGTTATTTTGCTCGGTAGTTGATGCAGTTTCTTCCTAGCATTGATGGTCTTTACAATTTGGCATGTTTTTGCAGTGGCTGGTACCAGTTGTTCCATTCCATGTTTACTGCTTCCTTCAGGAGCTCTTATAAGACAGGCCTGGTGGTGATAAAATCTCTCAGCATTTGCTTATCTGTAAAAAATTTTATTTCTCCTTCACTTATGAAGCTTAGTTTGGCTGGATAAGAAATTCTGGGTTGAAAATTCTTTTATTTAAGAATGTTGAATATTGGCCCCCACTCTCTTCTGGCTTGTAGAATTTCTGCTGAGAGATCTGCTGTTAGTCTGACGGGCTTCCCTTTGTGGGCAACCCAACCTTTCTGTCTGGCTGCCCTTAACATTTTTCCTTCATTTCAACCTTGGTGAATCTAATAATTATGTGTCTTGGGGTTGCTCTTCTCAAGGAGTATCTTTGTGGCATTATTTGTATTTCCTGAATTTGAATGTTGGCCTGCCTTCCTAGGTTGGGGAAGTTCTCCTGGATAATATCCTGAAGAGTGTTTTCCAGCTTGGTTCCATTCTCCCTGTCACTTTCAGGTACACCAATCAAACGCAGATTTGGTCTTTTCACATAGTCCCATATTTCTTGGAGGCTTTGTTTGTTTCTTTTTACTCTTTTTTCTCTAAACTTCTCTTCTTGCTTCATTTCATTCCTTTGATCTTCAATCACTGATACCCTTTCTTCCACTTGATTGAATTGGTTACTGAAGCTTGTGTGTGCATCACATAGTTCTCGTGCCATGGTTTTCAGATCCATCAGGTCATTTAAGTTCTTCTCTGTGCTGTTTATTCTAGTTAGCCATTTGTCTAATCTTTTTTCAAGGTTTTTTGCTTCCTTGCAATGGGGCTGAACATCCTACTCTAGCTTGGAGAAGTTTGTTATTACTGATTTTCTGAAGCCTACTTCTCTCAACTCGTCAAAGTCATTCTCCATCCAGCTTTGTTCTGCTGCTGGCAAGGAGCTGCGATCCTTTGGAGCAGAAGAGGCACTCCAGTTTTCAGAATTTTCAGCTTTTCTGCTCTAGTTTCTCCCCATCTTTGTGGTTTTATCTACCTTTGGTCTTTGATGATGTTGACCTACAGATGGGGTTTTGGTGTGGATGTCCTTTGTGTTGATGTTGATGCTATTCCTTTCTGTTTGTTAGTTTTCCTTCTAACAGTGAGGACCCTCAGTTGCAGGTCTGTTGGAGTTTGCTGGAGGTCCACTCCAGACCCTGTTTGCCTGGGTATCACCAGCGGAGGCTGCAGAACAGCAAATATTGCAGAACAGCAAATGTTGCTGCCTGATCCTTCCTCTGGAAGCTTCGTCTCAAAAGGGCGCCTGGCTGTATGAGGTGTCAGTTGGCCCCTACTGGGAGATGTCTCCCAGTTAGGCTACTCAGGGGTCAGGGACCCACTTGAGGAGGCAGTCTATCCATTTTCAGATCTCAAACTCCATGCTAGGAGAACCACTGCTCTCTTCAAAGCTGTCAGAGAGGGACGTTTAAGTTTGCAGAAGGTTCTGCTGCTTTTTGTTCAGCTATGCCCTCCCTCCAGAGGTGGAGTCTACAGAGGCAGGCAGGCCTCCTTGAGCTGCAGTGGGCTCCACCCAGTTCGAGCTTCCCAGCCACTTTGTTTACCTAGTCAAGCCTCAGCAATGGCAGACACCCGTCCCCCAGCCTCGCTGTCGCCTGACTATTTGATCTCGGACTGCTGTGCTAGCAGTGAGCAAGGCTCCGTGGGTGTGGGACCCACCAAGCCAGGCGTGGGATGTAATCTCCTGGTGTGCCATTTGCTAAGACCATTGGAAAAGCACAGTATTAGGGCGGGAGTGTCCCAATTTTCCAGGTACCATCTGTCATGGCTTCCCTGGGCTAGGAAAGGGAACTCCCCCGACCCCTTGCACTTCCCGGGTGAGACGATGCCCCACCCTGCTTCAGCTCACACTCTGTGGGCTGCACCCACTGTCCAACAACTCCTAATGAGATGAACTGAGTACCTCAGTTGGAAATACAGAAATCACCCATCTTCTGTGTCGCTCACGCTGGGAGCTATAGACTGGAGCTGTTCCTGTTCGGCCATCTTGGGTGGTCCAAAATAGAAAATTTTCATGTGTCAAAGCATACCATCAAGGAAGTGAAAAAACACAGAATGAAATAAAATGTTTATAATTCAAAAATAAAGAGACAATTTTTACAATTAAACAATAAAAAGACAGATAATTAATCAGTGAACAAAAGATTTGAACAGGCATTTCTCCCAATAAGTTATACTAGCTAATAAGTACATGAAAACATGCTCAACATTATTAGTCATTAGAGAAACACAAATCAAAACCACAATGTCTATTGAGTAGGATTGCTATAATCAATAAAACAAAGCACAGAAAATAATCAGTGGGACAAAGATGTGGAGAAATTATAACCCTCATACATTGGTGAAATGTAATATGGTCCAGCCACTATGGAAAACAGTTTATCAATTCCTCAAAAAGTCTAACATAGAGTGGCCAGGCTCAGTGGCTCATGCCTGTATTCCCAGCACTTTGGGAGGCCAAGGTGGGTGGATCATGAGGACAGGAAATCGAGATCATCCTGGCCAACATGGTGAAACCCCATCTTTACTAAAATACAAAAAAATTAGCCAGGTATGGTGGCACGTGCCTGTAGTCCCAACTACTTTGGAGGCTGTGGCAGGAGAATTGCTTGAACCCAGGAGGCAGAGGTTGCAGTGAGCCAAGGTTGTGCCACTGCACTCCATCCTGGCGACAGAGCAAGACTCCATCTCAAAAAAAAAAAAAAAAAAAAAAAGTCTAACATAGAGTTATACAAACCAGCAATTCTACTCTTAGGTATATACCCAAGAGGATTGAAAACAAAAGTTCATAAAAAAAATTGTACATGAATGTTTATAGCAGCATTATTCTAAATAGCAAAAACATGGAAACAACGTAAGTGTCCATCAACTAACTAATGGATAAACAAAATGTGACATGTATACATACATTCCATTGTGTGTGTATATGTGTGTTCATATATATATATATATATACACATATTTACGTACATACAATGGAATATCATTAGGTCATAAAAACGAATTAAGTACTGATACATGCTACAACATGGGTAAACCTTGAAGCATTGTGCTTAACCAAAAAATAAGAAAAAAAAGTCTACATATGGTATTATTCCATTTATATGAAATATCCAGAGCAGAGGATTCCAGACAGTGGGGTAAAAGGAAATGAGGAGTGCCTGGGAATGGATGCAGGATTTCTTTTCAGGTTGATTACACTGTTCTGAATTTAGATGGTGAAGGTTCTACAACCTTGTGAATATACCAAAACCCGATGACACATACACTGCAAAAAGGTGAATTTTATGGTATGTGAATTCTCTCCTTCTCCCTCCTGTACCAGTTAATGACTTGGCAGGAAGGAGATGACCTACTCAGATAACAGTAAGGTTAAAACGGAAAAATAGAGGACTGTAAAATACACTAGACTTGGCAACAATTAGGAAGTATTACCATTCCTAGGCCTGAAGGAGCAGGAAAGGGAGGAGTTCCCAGAATCTAGAAAGCACTATAACTGTAACTGTAGCTGAAGGAGAGGGCAACACAGTCGGAACTAGGCCTCCAGTAGAGGCCCAGCATCCCTGCCAAACAGTGTCCTGGAAGTCCCCCTTCCTAGGTGATAAATACTCAAACTTCTTTCTTCTCCCACACACTGATCTCCTACTTGACCCTCCCCAGTTCACCAAATTCAATAGAAGCCAGAAGATAAGGAAGTCCATCTAATGCAGACAATAGCAGTTGGCACACAGGGGCACAGAAATGGAGAATGAAGGATATAAATTATATCCAGAGCAGGAAAAGATATAAATTATATCCAGAGCAGGAAAAGAGAAGATATAGTCGATTCACTCTAGTCACTATCTGGAGAATGAATTTTAGGGGGTTTGGGGGGAAGGCAGTGAGCAAGAGTAGATGAGTGGGAACAGTGGGAAGCTATCCCAGAAGTCCAGGGTAATGATGATGACTTGAATTGGGGTGATAGTAATAGAAATAAGAGATAAAGAGATGCCTCAGAGGTCTTCCTTGATCTTTGCAAAAGTATGTAGGAACCAAACATGGCAAAACACGGAGCAGAAATGTCAAATGACCTAATTTTCTAACTTTTAGAGCAGTATCCAAATCCAACCAAGTTCACTTCAACTCCTAATTCAGTGTCATCCAATGTAAAGATAACTTGTGAGACAAAGAGGCCCCACAGAACTGCTTTATGAAGTGGCCACCCAACCCTGGCTTCATATTTTACTGGGATCACAGTCTTTTTTTTTTTTTTTTTGAGACGGAGTCTTGCTCTTTCACCCAGGTTGGAGCACAGTGCCACGATCTCAGCTCACTGCAACCTCCGCCTCCCGGGTTCACACCATTCTCCTGCCTCAGCTTCCTGAGTAGCTGGGACTACAGGCGCCGGCCACCACACCAAGTGAATTTTTTGTATTTTTAGTAGAGACGGGGTTTCACCATGTTAGCCAGGATGGTCTCGATCTCCTGACCTTAGTGGATCACAGTCTTGAAACCAAGCCTGCAGTGGCTGAGAAAATATAAATGATTATCTGAAGGACTTTGTCTCACAAGTTTTGGAACAGAAAAGACCCCTCCAATAACTTAGTTCAGCCTCAATTTATGAATGAGGAAACTGAGGCCCAACGAATTGCCTTGCTTTGCCCATCCAAAATTGTCCAAGGCTATAGAATCTAGCTGGGCCTACTGTTAGTCTAATGTGTTTTCAGTGATATTTCTTTAACTGTGAGACTTCCAATGAAAATGTCATGTCTTTCAGAAACCTCCTTGTTGGAAAAGTGATCCCAAACATGATAGTTGTCTTTTGGTCTTCACTCCTGCTAGGCTGGAAGAGAAAAATAAAGCACATGGTTTAAAGTTAGGTTAAAAGTGAAAAAAATTCCAAAATAATATCAATAGCTTAAGATGTTGGTTAAGAATGATCTTTTAGGCGTCATTTTTGGGAGCAGTGTATTTATTTTGCACCCAATTATGATTCAGCATGTCAGATTGTATTACTCATGTAGTTTTACCTTCCGATATCACAGTTATAGCCCAATATAGTAAGTACAGATTTCTGGAGTGAAAAGGCAGCTTTTGATTTAACTTTACTTTCACATATGGAGCACACATTGTGGTATCAATGCAACAGAAAATGAGTTAAGAAAATGCTGAAACCTCCGTAGAAATGTGAGGTTGGGCTCTACTGTAGTTAAAATTGAAAGTGTCATCTGAACAATGCATCTTGAGGGATTGTCATATTTGTGGCTTGCATCATAACTTTACTTGTCTTACCTGGTGGCCAGGAATACCTTGAGAGTCCAAGATCATGTCTAGCAGCTGCCAAATGAAAATCAACTCTCAGCCCCATTCCACTTTTTTTTAGTGCTTAGATCCTGTTATATTATACAATTTATTAGTTATTCATTTTATTTTGGGGTACCTAAGAATACATCAATGATCAGATGGACAGGACCACTCTTAAGTGTTTAGACCTTAAAAAATTCTTCTTGCAGGGCCCTATTTATATAAACAATTTGAATCACCCACAATCGGCACTGTCAGCACCATTCTGGCAGTCCCAAATCACAAGATTCAGAAAAAGAAATTCCACTTGGCCAATGAGAAGAATCTATTTGCCAGGCCTCCCTTTTGGAAGCAGCTTGGCCTGGGACCCCAGGATGACCCTATAGATGCAAGTCCCAGAGCTAGTACCCTAGCATCTGGTTAATGTATGTAGGGGCTGGTGTAGAGTTGGCTAATGTATGTAGGGGCTGGTGTAGAGTTGAAGAGTGCTGCCCAAAGAAGTGAAACAGGGACTGGACCCATGAACATTCCCGTCTGGGCTTGAATCTGGATAGGTGCCAGATATAAGAGCGGGACTTAATAAATTTCAAGGAAGTCACTCCAAAAGAAGAGTCTTCTGAGGTTATAGTCAGGGCAGATGACTTGATTGCCAACACCTAAAGGAAGTTCTAAGGATAGATATAAGCTCTGGTGTCATGGACGTCATCATCATGTAATGGGAAAAGCAGACATTGCCCAAGTATATACAAGTGAAATGATTATTAATAGTGCCATTGATGTGCTGTGGTAATCCCTAGCCCCAGCTTGAAGGGAATGAATGTTTTCCCACAGGAAAACATGCATAGATTGAGATTCAAGCATGATCATGAGCCAGGTGATGAGTGGGGACTTTATATATTTTTTTTATCAGAGAGCTTGTGTGAAAGCCCTGAATAGGACCACCAGCATGTTGAACCAGAAACTAGAAGTCCAGAATCAATGAAAAGTGTAGAGTCAGGGAAGATGCCCACTGTCGAGCAAGAGTCAAGTTAAGGCCATTTTTCCTTCTTGCTTATCATTCTCTAAGGCCTTGCTACTCAAAGTGCAAAACATGGATCAGCAACATTGACATCATTTGGGAGCTTACTAGAAATGCAGAATATCAGGTTCTTCCAGACTTACTGAAGCAGAATTTGCATTTTAACAAGTTCCCCCAGTGATCCATATAGACATTAAAGTTTGAGAAGTACTGGTCTATGATATCTAATTACCTAAGGCACTGCAATATAATTAAGAAGTTGCTATCCAAACCATCTTTGCTACATTTGACCCACACAAGGAGGGAACCAACTATGGTTTTAGAATAATGTAAGATCTCCTTGGAAGATGTGACTCCCAGTAGCACTGTATGAATCTGCACTAATATAAACCAAGTTAGAATGAAAAGTTACAATTTCCAAGAAAGAAAGGCTGTTCTTTGGCTTGGACTGGGATAGTGGAGACAGCAGTTGACCTTCCCTGCCCTCTCAAACAGTGCCTGGAAACTTGAAACACAGCCCTACATTCATGTATACCTCCCACTCAGAATTTTACATGTATTTAAGACAAAGTGTTATTCTCTTAAGGTTAGTATGTCATTTCAACATTATTTTGAAGGTTAACTTTCCCAGGAACCACTATCTTTAAAAAAAAAAAACAAAAAACAAAACTTAGTTAAAATTAAGCAAGTATATATAGCTATATAAATCAGAAAAAAGATACCTATGCATATAAAAATGCCATAAAAATATCACTTCTACTAATTCCAAGAGAAAAAGTATATAAAATGCAGCACCAGACAACAGGAAGAATTGCAATTCTTAAAAATGAGAATATTAAAAAAGAAAGAATATATATTGAAAACCTAGGCTTTTTTGCTTTTCTTCATATAAGACAAAAATACTAGTTGCAAAAAATCATTTAACAAAACCTGTGTATTTATTCTTTCTGTAAAAGCATTTAAGAAGTATCAGAATAAATGTATTATTAAATGTTTATTTTTCAAATAATAAATATCTATATAGACTCAAAGATCAAAAAATAGCTCTGAATCTTAGATAAGATTTCTCTTGATGATAATTATTAACATATTTCTTTAATGAAGATATTTTTCTTTAGATAATTATTATTCCTTAATTCCCACAGCTAGTGTGAAAAAAATACACACACAAAGAAAATGAGACTCACTGACAGAGAAAAATGACAGATAGTCATAAGAGCCCCGTGATTTTAATGAGCTAGATCCAGTAATTTAGGATCCTTTAGGGCTATATTTAAGTGAGAGCCAATAGTCTTAAATTTCTATGCATATTATTAAGCATAAATATTAATTTTTAAATGTTTTCTTTTTAATATAGTTTAGTAATTTCTCTAGGATAAATTGATAGTTGCTAGATAGTCTATAAGACAACACATAAAACATATTTAGAACAGTGCCTGACACATAATACTCAATACATGTTAGCTATTATTATTATCTCATTTCATTATATTTTAACTAAGAATGTTCAACTATAAACAAAATAGATGTTATATTTTGTCTCCCATAGAGTCTTTAAACACCTTCATGTCATAAACTCCATTCAAGAATTTTCTGATTTTTTGACCCAATCAAAATGTAAGCAGTAATATACATACATACTTCTGCAGAAAATACCATTACTGTGCTTTCCATCTTGCTATTACTGGTCTTGGGGCTACCAATGTTATTCAGAACTTAAGTTACAAAATGCTGATCACATTTGAGTGCTTCTTCTTAAACAGCTAATGGGAAACAGAAAACCACTGTAATGCTACACTAACTTATGAGGGCTGTGGCTCCACTCACAGAAATCAGTCCAGCTTCCAGCTGGCACAAAGCCTACAGCTCAGACTAAGTCCCAGACAGAGAATCCCTGAAAGGCAAAAGAAAAAAAAATTGACACAAGAGTTCAAGTAGTTTTCCTTTAATCTATTGAACTACATGAAGTACAGCATGCTTAAGGATTTAACAAAAAGAAAAGATTGTATGCAAACGTTATCATTAAATAATATTTATGACAATCATAAAGAACCGAGTGACCCTAAAGCATAATACTGAAAGACAATCACATAATAATGATACCAATTGAGGAGAAAATCGATATAAGAAAGAGGCCCCATAGACAAAAAATGAGTGCAGAATTATAATGAATTTTCACTGCCATGGGTCTGAGAAACTTCCAACACAACTTAGGCATGTACAGGTAAGTTGTATTGGTACTACTTCTCAGTCTCCTCCCTAATCCTCAGAATGGCAAAATCCATGTAATTACCTAAAGCACACAGATAGAGAAAAGGTACTACTTCAGTCACCAACTCCAATGAATTGGAACTTGCTACCTAGAGCATGGTTTTGAGAAGAATTCTGAGATCATCTCAGTAGGAAAAGGAGGACCGTAATCCACTAGTGCCAGGTATCATGGAGTAAGGCAGGGACTAATGGAGAGTGCTTTATAATGTCCAACCCTCATAGAGTCTTGTTGAAACCATACACTGGCTATTTACTTATTAATCAATTTAGATTTTTACCATACAAAATTTTATTTTTAAATTAACACAGACCTTCTTGGGAGGCCGAGGCGGGTGAATCACGAGTCAGGAGTTCAACACAAGCCTGGCCATCATAGTGAAACCCCATCTCTACCAAAAATACAAAAAATTAGCCAGGCATGGTGGCAGGCACCTGTAATCCCAGCTACTCGGGAGGCTGAGGCAGGAGAATCTCTTGAACTCGGAGGGTGGAGGTTGCAGTGAGCTAACTACATGCCACTGCACTCCAGCCTGGGCGACAGAGTGAGACTCCTTCTCCAAAAAAATAAAACAAAACAAACAAACAAACAAAAAACCACCTTCTTGCCTAATTAGTTTTTTCCTGACACTATGCATTTCCACCTTAAACCACTATATTATTCCACATACATGAACATTTCAAAGATCATCACTGGCCTCTACACCATCAAATTCTTGGACCTTTTCTTAAGATTTAGCCCTTTGGCATCAATGAAATTTTGATAACTTTCACATTCACTATACGGAACTTTCTGTTCCTTTGTCCTTGTATGACTTTATCCCCTTGGTTCTCCTCTGTCTGGGCTTTTTCAATAAATGTCCTCTGTGTAGTCTTTGGCCCCAGTCTCTTCTTCTGCCTGTCCAGCTCCATTTTGCCAAACTGGTCTTAGAAGACATTTATTTCATCCTGCTGACCTTTTACTCAAAAGCCCCGTCACATTTATGAGATGAAAATTGAGCACTTTAGCTTGGGCCATTAGTTGTTTGTATTAGGTAGCTCCTACAATGGCCTTTTGAACGGTTTATCCCAATAGAAGTTTATTTCTCACTCATGCAAATTCCAATTGAAAGGAGGGAAGGCCCTCTGTTCCATATGGTGATAACAGACAGTTAGAAGTTCTGCCATTTTCAACTTGGGCACCAAAATCAAATCAGCAAATAGGAAAGGGAGAAAGTGAAAGATTACACCAGAGGTTTTTATGAACCAGATCTCCCAACCACATTCCATTGGCAAGAATAAGTCATTCAGCCACGTAATCTGCAAAGGAGTTTGGCAATGTAGTTTATCATCTTTCCAGGAACAAAAAGAAACAAATTTGTTGAATAGTTATGTGGTCTGTGTCACAGTTCTCCACGATTTGTTACACACTAACTTCCTAATGATTTTCAAGTCTCTTTAAAATGAAGTCTTCCATGTCTATTTATTTTCTTTCTTGCTATACTAAGCCTTTTTATATCCCCATTTCAGCCAATGAGGCTGCTCTTTCCCTTAACTAGTGTCTCCCTTCTCTGTACACCCAAACTCTATATACCTTTCAAAGTTTGATTTAAGTTTCACATTACCCAGGAAGTTTCTCTCACTTTATATCAGCTTCTTCTAAATAGATAGCACTAGTTTTAAAAATTACTTATTGGCAGATATTACTTTAAATATTAGAAGGCATAGTGAGGAAACCATGTGTACACATCCAAGTCAGGGAGTGAACTGCAAGGCTAGTTGGACCAAAAGTTAGCTGCATACATCATCTGTTTTAGTCCATTCTGGGCACTATAACAAAATACCATAAACTGGGTGGCTTATGAACAACAGAAATTTATTTCTTCTACTTTTGGAGGTTGGGAAGGTCAAGATCAAGGTGCTGGCAGATTCAGGTCTGGTGAAGGACAATTTTTTGGTTCATAGTAACCACCCTCTCACTGTGTCCTCACATGGTTGAAGGGATGGGATGAGAGGTCTCTTTCATGCCTCTTTTATGAGGGCACTAATCTCATTCCTGAATGCTCTGCTCTCGTGATCTAATCACCTCTAAAGGCTCCACTTCTTACACCATAACCTTAAGGGTTACAATTTCAACATATGAATTTTGGGAGGACACGAACATTCAGATTATAGCAGCACCTGAAGGAAACTGGTTTGTTTCAAAGTAAGAACCAAATATACGCAGTCCTGTGAATTGTGTGCGTTTCAAACCAACATAGGAAAAGAACATATCTCAATCACACTAATGTGTGACTCTACAACTTTTGGAGTATTAATCCATTCCATGATCTAACAGTTCCTCATTCTTTGGAAACTCTTTGCAATTGACAGCAGTATAGCCCAACTCTCACGTTAGTACAGGGCAGCTATTTTCCATAGATATTGGAAGCCAGGCTATTTTAAATAGTTTGGATGATGTGTAAAGGGAAACTTTCTGCCATATAACAAAATGGAGAAAGGCAGCATGCAGAAAGCAATAAGAAAGCACAGGTTCAGGAAGAAAGAGATACAACAAAGAGAAAGCTAAGAAAAGCCTGACGTAGTTGTAATTCCTGGTCCATCATTTTCTGAGGTCTAATTCCATCTGCTTTTCTTGGTTCTGAGGTACACCCTTATATCCACATAGTCATCTTTCTTTTTCTCCTCTTCCATGTCAGCAATGTAGTCAAGTGGTCAAGAGTCATAGAGATCCAGATTTGAATTTTAGTTCTGCCACTTACCAGGCTTATGACTCTAGGCAAGTTATGCACCTCTCTGAATCCCTACTTTCTGGTATTTAAGATCTCACAAGGTTAAACACATACTTTTTGTAAAAAGCCTAAAACAGTGGCTTAGACATAATATATGCTCAATAAATGGTAATTGTCATATTTTAAATACTACACTTCATCTAATATAAAGTGCAATTGACCATAAAGGACATCATGATTAAAATGATGTTAGATAAAATGTGTAAAGATGTGATTCAAGATTGATGAAGTATGGTGTTATTTTTATTACTAAACCTACGGAAAGTGTTATAGGGTCTTAACAGACTCTCTCATAGGTTGATTCTACTAGAATACAAATAGTTACCAGATCGGGAAGGCCCAGAGTTCTTTTGACTCTTCTTCTCTCCTGCTAGAGATGTATTATTAATTTCCAGGTCATTTTCCTATCAGACGAATTCCAAATGCTAATTGTAAATTGAATTTTTGCCTTTGGAAAAGTAGCATTTCTCCATTTAGCTCAATGCTTCTCAGGTTGGGATGATAAGCAATAATTACTTAAGAATGAAAATTTTTTTACTCTGTTTTTCAATTTCATGTGATAATATGTGAAAGAGAAAAAAGGACATCTCCATTTTCATATGTTAGTTAGAAATAGCAATATTGACAAGATCAAGTAACTGTTTTGATCATTAAATAATTACAGATGCTATAGAATTTTGCAATGGAATAAAATACATGCAAATGCCAAAGTTTTGCGTTAGCAAGTCACTGCCTTAAACATATGGAAATTTAATTTAAGACAAATGCCTGAAAAACATCTAATCATAGAAACAATACTAGCATGTAATGCATAAACAGTAGTAGGCAGAAAAAGAAATATATATATACATAATGCTTTACTATATATTACATGAACAAAAATAAGTTTCGTTAACTTTTAAAAAATTATAATATTGTATTGTCTATGTTTTCAGGAGAGCCAATAGCTTGTTCAGAGAGGAAAATAGTGATTTGTAATTCTTTGGAAAAATTAAAGTCTTAAGTGATTATACATTCTTTAGGGATGTAACAAAACATGCTCCAGCAAATTTGCTGCTATCTTTCCAGTTGGAAGAACAAAAGACTGCAGCGAACATATTGAATGTATCTGTAAAAAATGAAATTTATGCCTAACGCCAAGATATTATGTCTATAAGTAAGAGGCAAGGGAAAGCCTCAGTGGCCTTGCATAACACAACTGTTTTAATTATTTCAACAAACATTTGTTGAACACCTATTCTGGGCCCCCTGTTGGATATTGTGATTTCTGAGGTGAAATAAAGGATCTTAGCAAGAAATGGAAACTGATCTTATTTCAATGGGGGGATAATAAGGACCTCTGCACAGGAAAAAGAAAAACAAAACAGCATAATGAGTGAGACAAAATTCTAGCTATCCCAATTTAAAATGTAATTATGACCTCCAATACAAGACACAACTTGGAGGGCACAATTCCTTGGTGTTCTGGCTACAGCTGTGCAGGGAAAGAGTCAGGAAATCCATTCACATATGAAAAGGGTGCTTTAGCACAATGGCACCGTCTGTTTTCTCTGTCCTCACTTTGTTAAGTCCAATTTTTCCAATGAGCACATCAGATATGCATGTTACTCACTCAAGATCTATCTGAGGCTCTAATGCATCCACAATATAAAGTGAACGAGCTTTTATCTGAAAATGCTTGTTATGGAGAAAACAGACAACCATGGGTACAAAATAAGACATTCAACTGTGAGTCAAGTAGGAAGATAAACAAGAGCTGGAGTCTTGCTTATGGGAAAACAAAAGTAGTTTGGGAAGTTTTAAAAATTATAGTAGTAAGCAAATAATAGATGCTTAATATCTTATAATAAATACATTAAAATTTTGAGACAATGTCTTTCTATAGAGCAGGGGTCAACAAACTATGATGACCTAAAGGACAAGCCTGGCCCTTTGTCTCCCACAGGTTTTGTAAATAAAGTTTTATTGAAACACAGCTACATTCATTTGTATATGTAGTCTATGGCTGCCTTTGATCTACAATAGAGTTGAGCTGTGGCAACATAGATCATATGACCCACAAAGCCTAAAATAACTGGACATTTATTGAAAATGTTTGTTTTAACCCCTGATGTAGAATTAGAAACTATCAAATCCTCATGGCCAAACATATTAGAGTGTCCTCTCCCATCTCAATCTATTATTTTCATTAATTTTTCATTCATTTTTTCAAGCTTGGGGTTGCTTGGAGTCCAGTTTAATCATCTAAGGCCTGGCTTGCTGAAAAGTAACACCTTTAGATCCAGAAGGAGTCTGCAGAATGACTGGTGCGTGCGTGTGTGTGTGTGTGTGTGTGTGTGTGTGTGTGCGCGCGCGCGCGCGCTATCTTGGATGCACTGAAGGAATTGCTGCCTTCTCTTTAAGGAGAAGTTTGTACTGGAGCAATTTCTTGGAAGAATCATGTGGAAGCAATAGATGCAATGGCATGCCATATAAATGGTGAAACAGGGAGTAAGATTGCCCAACATTCCCCGATCTTTGATGAAGGTGAGAGAAAGAGAAGCAATATGAGTGTGCATATATACTGAAGATTTATAACAATTGTAAGGCACCCATTAATCATTAAGGTGGATCTGATTCTCTACTTGAGGTCTAATGAAAAGTTTCAGATAATTTATAAGTGAATCTATTTGATATTCTTTTTTTTTTTTTTTTGAGATGGAGTCTCACTCTGTCTCCCAGGCTTCAGTGCAGTGGCACAATCTCGGCTCATTGCAACCTCTGCCTCCTGGATTCAAGCAATTCTCCTGCCTCATCCTCCTGAGTAGCTGGGATTACAGGCACTCGCTACCACGCCCAGCTAATTTCTTGTATTTTTAGTAGAGACAGGGTTTCACCGTGTTAGCCAGGATGATCTCGATCTCCTGACCTCAAGTGATCTGCCTGCTTTGGCCTCCCAAAGTGCTGGGATTACAGGGTTGAGTCACCGTGCCCAGCCTGATATTCAATTATTCAGTAACAGTTTCACAAGTATCAAACTAGTAGAAGAAAATTTTAAATGTGTTTATTAAAGAGAGAGTATTTGTAAGAGGGTTAGGAAACCATGACTAAGTAGAAATAATGCTTACTTATTGAGCATTACACATGTAAGCCAGTAATTATTTTCCAACCACTAGTGGTAAGACACTTTAAAACTTATTTTGCCAATACAAAAAAGATTAATTAAGCAAGAAAGGGGTCATATGCTTCACAAACATTTATTGAATATGAACCACATTCATGAATGTCTAATAGTTGATTTAAAAAAGAACACTCACTTCTTAGTTTTAGGATGCTTAGAATATACTGAAGAAGCCAAGGCAATTAACCTCTCCCCACCTCCACACTGAGTTTTATAACAGAGACCAAAGCACAACTGTTTTTTCCTCCTAATGAGACACACAACACCCCCTCTCACAGACTCAAGCTTAAGCAATGGGTTCCATCGGGCAAATATAGTGATAACCAATACTTATTGCCAGTCATTCTACTAAATGCCTTGTTTACATTAATTCATTTAGTTCTCAGCAACAACCTATAAAGGAGTAATAATTATCATACTTCCTCACATTTAAAACAATATAGATTGTTATACATGCCATCATGGAATGTAGCACCAAGAAAAAAGGTGTTACCAATTAAATTATGATATTGCATCTATTGCAATACTCCACCTAAACTCAGAGAAGTTAATTGTGAAAATGTATACTTCTTAGATTCAGTTTTTCATGTGAGAAAACCAGAAGGCAAATAGGTAAATTTTCTTGCTTGAGGACACTAGGCTGGAAAGTGGCATAATAGTGAGTTTGAGTTCTTAAACACTGAACTCCACTGCATATGATAGAGAATTGGGTGTAACATATTGGATTTTCCAGGAAATACAAAGGTGTTGGTTGCAGGCCCAAACAGCAGGGAGCAAAGTTGCAGAAAATTAATATTTGCCACAAAGAAGTCCTTTTCTTCCTGTGCCTTATGAATTCTTTCTGTACAAGCACCTGTTATTTTAATCATATCTGGAGTTTTCATACCTCCCTTATATTGCATTATAATCACGAGTTGAGAGAGATCAAGTGAGAGCAAGAGGGCAAGACCAGTCCATAAGTATGTGTTAATTTAGAACACACTGGGAAAATATTAATACCACACAGACAGCACTTCTATATAGCAAAAGCATCTGTGAATATATATGACACTAAAACTGAAAATATTTAACTGGTAAGTATGTATTCATATATTTATATGCTATAATAATATATAGAGTTATAAATTACACATTTTAATGCACATAAGATTATTTTGCAAAGGTCTCTGGGATGAGAACATTTAAGTAAGATAGGGAACACCTGTATATATCTTATATATCAGGACTTTTATAAGTCATTACTTACAGGGAAAAAGAAGAGCTGAAAAGCTGTCAACTGTCTAAGGGCCAAGACTGTGCGTTGGCCACTACTTAGTATAGCACTGTCCACAATAAGTTTATTTGAAGCAAATTTATGGCTTTTTATATCTTCATCATAAAAGCACTTGTTCTTCATTTTGCAAGTCCTTAAGTTGTGGTAAAAATATGTTATCATACATATCACATATAATAAGTATCACACATTGCTGAATATGACTTTTTGGTGTGAAATGCAAGTTTCAGGATTTCCACTATAACTGTGAAACTAAAGTAAATTTTCAATTGTTTATGACCTCAATGGGCCAGAAAACGAGAGAACCAACTTATCAGTATGAAAGGCAAGTTTCAGGATTCCAGTATAACTGTGAAGTTGAAGTAAATTTTCAACTGCTTATGACCTCAATGGGCCAGAGAAAGAGAGAACCTTTACATATTCCAGATACCCTTAACAATTAAACAGGTAAATCTACAATTTGTAAACTTATTATTGACACAGAAGAACAAGATAGAACTTTGCAATTTATAAATATTTGTTGTTGACCCACACTTGATCATCAGTAACCATGTCTCTTGCAGTGAGGTTTGAAGTTGCTTGATGAGATCCACTTGGGATGAGACTAAGGCCACCCTAGATCATATGTTTTAGCTTATCCAGTCCCACAAAATTTGAACCAAATGAAACCTCATTGCCTTGCATCATGTTTAAACTGAATTTTCCTTTCTAAAGCCAGAATCGATTTCATTCTAATTGCAGTTATTTTGTCCTATCTCATCCCCTATAATCAAAGTATCATTTTAAAATGTTAAGAAACTATAGACGTCAAGAATAATTGGAAATGAAACAAAATGTAACAATTCGATCTTTCATGAGTTAGTCTTCATATCAAAATATAAACTGAAAAAGGATTTTATATCTGGCATGCTCTGGATGCAATGCTAGCAAAGTTATGGAACCAAAGTAGAAAAGTGGCAAAGGGCAGAAGAGGAAAAATTAAAAGTCTATGTAGAACAATGATTGTTTACTTAAAATGCAAGGGATATTCTTTTGAAGTGAATATTGTCCTAAGTGTTAAGCCAAAACCAAAATTATATGAATGGAAAGAAAGTAAAGGCTTTGAGTCCCTGATGGATTTTTAAAATTCCTGTGGAAAGTTTGATGGGCTGTCTTTCTTCTTATAAATAAACTATTGTGGTTTTAAGACATGTGTTGTGTCTTGGTTTATTTAATTCTGAAGAGCAGAAAAAAAAGATCACTTGGTGGGTAATACACAATGTATTGGCATTCAAAGTAAATACAACACATCATGTTTAAATTAAAAAAGGTTTGCCTCAGAATAAAAGCCAAAAGGCAACATAAAAAAAAGACATTGTGGTTGTGAAGGAACTCCAATATCTATAAAAATGATTTCAACTAAATTATAACAAGAGAAATGTTCCTCACTGAGCAGATAAACTCATCCTACTCAGTTTGATTTTAAAATTATTAAACATTTTCTCCATTACTAGAGAGGACAAAATGTCTAGCTTAATTTTAAAAATTATTAGAACGGAGATGCTTCTTGGGCATTTATTAGGTAGACTCTCATCTAATTCATATTTCAAAATTTTCCTCATAGGTTTTAATGACATACATCAAAGCAACCTATGATAAAATTGACTCAAACAATAAATATATGGTTGTTTGCTATTTAGAAAACCTTTTGTTTTTTTAGAGTTACAGAGGCTTTGGTTTCATTTAATTCTAAATTAATCTTTATGTTAATAGTCCTTGGAAATACAGATATTTGAGAGATTTTCTTCAGTCATATTCATTTGACTTCACCTGAGCATTCCAATATACTATAATGTAAACAAACACAGTCATATATATAAACTTTGTATATAAAGTCTGTATGTATATATACACACACATGACTTTCATGTCAAATTTGAAATGTTTAAAACTACCAAAAATATGTAGAAAGAAGCTATGTAAAAAGAAACAAAATAGGGTAGAAATTTTTTTAAAAAAATGATATTTAACTGGCCCTAAGAGTATGATATCTCCAAATTTATACCAATTTTGAAAGCCTAATAGAATCAGTATCTTACCTTATATGATATAGAATCCATGTATCCTTATTGAAATATAACAAGGTATTCCTCATCAATACTATACTTTTTCCTTCATGGAGTCTCTATGAGGAAAAAAAAAACAGTCTGCTTTTCCTCTGCTCTCACCCCACAACAATCAACACAGAAGACTTCTGTGAACAAATGTTTGGAGATTTTTCCCCACACACCAAGCAAGCAATCAATTATGTGGTGGACACCAGCTGGGTATCCTCCAATTTAATTCCGACACTATCTACCCTGGAGAAAGTTTCAGATCCCACAAGTTGAGGACTTAGTCCCACAAGATTGCCCCAACTTCTGATGCCAAATCCAAGCCTCAGGTTGTTGTGTTTCTCATGGACAGGCTATAAATTGCGGTTCCCAAGACTCACTCATTGGATTCAATTAATTTGCTAGAGTGGTTCACAGAACTCAGGGAAACACTTATGTTTACTGGTTTATTACAAAGTGTATAGATGAAGAGATGGATAGGGTGAGGAGCTTCCAGCTCCCCGCCCCACCCCACGTCCCCACCCAGGCACATCATCCTCCAGAAACCTCCATGTGCTCAGCTATTCTGAAGTTTTGAACTTTTGGATTTTAATAGAACATTATTATGTAGGTTGATTACATCATTAAATACTGGTAATCAACTTAATCTTCAGCCCTTCTCCCCACCCTGAAGATTAGTGGGGAGTGGAGCTGATAGTGCCAATCCTCTAATCATGGCTTGGTCCTTCTGGTGACCAGTTGCCATCCTGAAGCTGCTAGAAATCAGTCAACTCATTAACATACAAGAAGACATCACCATCACTTTGGCGATTCCAAGGATTTTAGGAATCATATGCCAGAAAACAGGAATGAAGACCAAATACATATTTTATAATATCACAGATCATAGCCAATTATTCCACTAGTCATTCCAGGGGAGGGGGTGACCGGAATAAACAGAAGAGAAAATTTACACACAGACAGACTGAGAAACAAAGTTAGGATACTGGCTATCGAATATTTTTGATTGAAGTATCTTTGGATAAAAAGGTACAACATCTGCATTTATAACTAACATAGAAACCATCATGTTCATTCATACTCAGTTTTTTATGCATCTCTTCCATTTTACAAGGTGCCCAAATTAGAAGAAATTTGCCCCCATAAAAAACCATTTCACTTTATCTTTGTAAGTGTTTGAAGTCATAGCATTGCAATATATTTCCAGTGTTGGAAATTCCACATACCCATATCTGCAATATACCAACTTACTTTTTCATACCTTCCCTCCAGCAAAAAATTCCCAGAATTGTCCTCAGAGGACCAACGGCATCAGAATTAATGGGACACATTTTGAAAATACAGATTCTTGGGACAAAGCCCAAATCAATAGAGTCAGAACCTCCCTAGGTGGAATCTAGAAAGCTAGAGATGTTTTATAAGTTTCCCAAATGATTCTTGTGGATACTCCGTTTTGAGAACCACTTATAACAGTTATGCAGGGGGCCACAGAGAAGGAAGAAATGAAGGGTACAAAAGCTAACTTTGTGGATACATAGAACAAGAAAAATCATATAAAAGCAATTCAAAGTAATCAAGAGATCATAAATAAGGGCTAACATGCAGAACTCAAGTTCAGATAAGTGATAGAAGATTAGGATGAATAAACAGACTGATCTAGATAAGACAGATATTTCTGATGGATCAAGGCCATCAGATACCTAATGAAAAAAAACAAGTTTTGGGGTAGGATAAATTTCCTCTTCCAAATTACTTGCTTATAAGCTGTGCACATTATTTTCCTTGTTATTTATTGATTTATTTTTTTTAGATGGAGTCTCGCACTGTCGGCCAGGCTGGAGGGCAGTGGCACCATCTCGGCTCACTACAAACTCTGCTTCTCGGGTTCAAGTGATTCTCCCACCTCAGTCTCCTGAGTAGCTGGGATTACAGGCGTGTGCCAGCACGCCCAGCTAATTTTTGTATTTTTAGTAGAGACAGGATTTCACCATGTTGGCCATGCTGGTCTTGAACTCCTGACCTCAAATGATCCACCTGCCTCAGCCTCCCAAAGTGCTGAGATTACAGGCATGAGCCACCATGCCCAGCCTATTTTCCTTTTTGTTATACAATTGTCAGTATTTTGCAAGACATTGTGGGATCTTGTCATAAAAACCTAGTTTTATTAAGCCAAACCTTTCGGTGTTATTTGTAATGATTTAAGCACTGAATTCTGAAGTTTAGTTTTTAATACAGGCGTTCCATGTGAGGTGGCTGCCCCACGGTGAGGTGATGGTTTCAATACATTAAATGAAAGAAGAAATCAGTTCTCTAAATTTTCCTAATCTGAAAACACAATAGCTAAACATCTCTCAAATGAGCTTAATGAGCTCAACTAGGGTAATAAAGAACCACCCCTTTACCATGCTTAGGATTCATATAGAATTTCAGTAATAAAATAATAGGTTTAACTTTGGACATAATTACTAAAAAATATTAATTTCACTCAAAATATCACTATATTTCAAGCTATATTTGAAAACAATTTCTCACCAAGCAATAAAGATTTAAATTGACTTACCACTTAACACATGTTCAAAAACACCTTTGGATGGATGAATTAATTGATAAATTGCAATAAATCAATACATCAATGTACATTCAACTTTGTCACTTAAAGGAAGTGAAAAATCATTGATATTTTAGTAGTTTAACATTGAGAAGTAAATATTCTAGTAACCTCCTTTAAATTATTCAAATTAATATAGTTAAATAGTATTCAGAGATTTCATGAAAATTAGTTTTTGCCCCCAGTTTGATACTTATTTTTGTGTCAAGATTGCTACCAAGACTCTGGCAGCTGAAGCCATGGAGTCTAGTGGCTGAAAACCAGACTCTAGTGGCATAGTGGGCACAGTGCCTAGTTTCAAACGTAACTCTCCATTTTATGTGGGACTTAGAGTAATAAATTTGAGTATCTATGCCCAACTGCCTTTCCTATAAAATGGGGATTATTACGCTAACAGTAACTGCCTCTAAGACTATAAGGAAATCTAAAGAGATGACTCATTCTTGGTGCATAGAATGTCCCCAATAACAATTTGTTATGACTGAGACTTTTTTCCATTTTTATTTTCATCACAGCAAGCACATTTTGTTCATTGTTTACCTTCAAAAAACTTTTCTTTTTAATTTTAAAATTATTATAGTAATATACTGCTTTCGATTGGTATATATGTATATGTATGCACGATTATTTTTGAATAAAAAGGTTGAGTAGCAAAATTTAGTTTGAAAGCCAACAAAATATTTTTTTATTTTAATTAAGAAATCAAAGTGTGT